>NC_000013.11:82687644-82840484 GCF_000001405.40 Homo sapiens | reverse complement strand
TCTTCTTATTAACTAGTCTAAAATACAACTGTTTAAATCAATAATAGAAACATGTTATAGGTGATTGTCATACATGTATAATTGAATTGAATGGCCAAAGTGTCATAGAGATGAAAGGGAGGGACATTAAATACTCTGTTATAATGTACCTGCATTACACCTGAAGCAGTATAGTGTATTTGAAGGGAGTCATAGACTACTTTAAATTGTGTATTGGAAACTCTAAACCAATCAATATTTTTTTCAGGGTAACATAATTGACTGACAAAAAAAGGAGATAGGAATAAAAAACATGTTTACCTACAACCACAGAAGGCAAGAAAAGAGTTGGGGCAGGAGATAGAGGAAATAAATCTATAGAAAACAGCTATAAATGTGACACAGATTAATCCAATTGCATAAGTAAATGTATTAAATGAGAATGAAGTAAATATACCAAATTAAAGACACAAGTTGTATGAAAGAATAATGATAATAAACCTAACTATACTGTCTACTATAAACACACTTTAAATATAAAGACACAAGTAGATTAATTGTAAAGGGATGAAGAAATGTATACCATGCTCATACTCATCAAAAGAAAGCAAAATTACCTAATTTATTTCAGAAAAAGCTGACTTCAGAAGGAGGAAAATTATTAGGAACAAAGAGAGATATTATATAAAGATAAATATATCAATTTTCAAAATAAATTCTCAACTTGTATGCACCTAACAAGACAGCATCAATAAGGTCAAACTAAAGACTGATCGAACTAAAAGGAGGAAACAGACAAGTCTACTATGATAGTAGGGGACTTCAATACTCCTCTTCCAGTAATTGACAAATCAAGCAGGCAGAAAATCAATAAAGATATAGTTGACCTGAACAACACTGTCAATGAACTTGAGCTATTTGACATATAAGAAATGCAGCAACCAACAGCCAGAAAAATGCACCTTCTTCTTGAGGTCACATGGAACATTCACCAAATGAAACCATATCCTAAGATGTAAAATCCAACATAAATTTAAGAGAATAGAGATAAAACAAATATATTCACAGATCACAATGGAATTAAACTAGAAAGAAATGCCAAAAAGGTAGCCAGAAAATTACCAAATATTTCACAATTAATAGACTTCTAAATAACACATTGGTCAAAAAAGAAGACCAGTGAGAATTAAAAATATTTTAACTACATAAAAATTAATATAAGGGCCAGATATGGTGGCTCATGCCTATAATCCCAGCACTTTGGGAGACCAAGGCAGGTGGATCAGCTGAGGTCAGGAGTTTGAGACCTGCCTGATCAACATGGTGAAACCCCGTCTCTACTAAAAATACAAAAAAAAAAAAAAATTAGCTGGGCATGGTGGCGGGTACCTGTAGTACCAGATACTTGGAAGGGTGAGGCAGAAGAATCACTTGAACCTGGGAGGCAGAGGTTGCAGCGAGCTGAGATGGCGCCACTGCACTCCAGCCTGGGCAACAGAGCAAGACTCCATCTCAAAAAAAAAAAAAAAAATGCAATGAATACAAACATTCAAATTGGTGAGATCCAATGGCAGCATTGTCAAGACGAAAATTTATTGCATTAAGTGCAAATGTCATAAAATAAGATATCTGTAAATTCAATAACCTAAGATTTTACCTTAGGAAACTAGAAGAAAAGGAACAATTTGAGTCTAAAGCAAGAAGAAGAAAAGATGAATATTAGAGCAAAAATCAACGAAATTAAAATCAGAAAACCATAGAGAAAATCAATGAAATCTAAAATTTGTTCTCTGAAAAGTTCAATAAAACTCTGTCTAGAATAACCAATAAATAAATGGAGAAAAACGTTACCAGTATCAAAAATGAAAGAAATATCATGACTAATAATTTCATGGTCATTAAATGGATAACAAAAAGAATACTACAAGAAAGTTTATGTCAACAAATTTGGTAACTTAGATAAATTGAACCAATTAGACTAATTAAATAAGCAAAATAAAGCAGATAAAATTGAGAAAAATTAGTTCTGGTAGATGTCTGAGTTGTCAAACTTAAATGGTTCTGGTGTTGACCAGGACGCAGCAAGTCAACAGGTAAATTTTAAGGGGTTGTGTTTTGAGAGTCCTAAATGGATTTGTGAATTTTTGCCTGAGGTACTTACTCAAAGAGGCAGGCAAGTTAACACCAATCAAATTCAAAGTCTAGAAAGGCTGAAGAAAAATAACAGGAGAAGAGAAGCATATACAGGAAGAATTTCAGAGAATCAGAGAAAGAGTTATCTGTCAAGCTAGAAACATAATTTGTGTGGGAGGAAACACCAGGAACAAGTTTGTTGCCAGCATTTTAAATCAGCTGGTCAGTTTGTTGTCAGCATTTTAAATCAGCAATTGTATGTGATTGGGTCTAGTTTTCTTACAGAACATGAGATGATGGTTTATATAATTTGACTGTGTCCCCACCCAAATCTCATCTTGAATTCCCACATGTTGTGGGAGGGACCCGGTGGGGAGGTAATTGAAAGATAGGACAGGTCTTTCCTGTGCTGTTCTCATGATAGTGAATAAGTCTCAAGAGATCTGATGGTTTTGAAAAATGGGAGTTTCCCTGCACAAGCTCTCTCTTTGCCTGCTGCCATCCGTGTAACACATCACTTGCTCCTGCTTGCCTTCCACCATAAGTGTGAGGCTTCCCCAACCATTTGGAATTGTAAGTCCAATTGAATCTCTTCCTTTTATAAATTGCCCAGTCTCTGGTATGTCTTTATCAGCAGCGTGAAAATGGACTAATACAATAGTAGATCAAAAAAGACCACAAAGAACTTAAGTTTGCTGAAAACCTAAGAGAGCAACTGCTGCAGAATATTTTGCATAAGGTAACATTGTGAAATAATTCAGATGGGAAAGCAGATGAGGAAATGGTTATCATCAGGCTATTACCACCTTAAAGTTTGAGAGCAGACAACAAAATACTAGAAAGGAGTTCAACGAAATACTAGAAAAGAGTTTATCTGGAGCAAAGTAGAGCCATTATCTTAGTCAAAATAATAGAAGAGGCAAGTTACCAAGGCAAAGTCTCATACACATGGGGGTAAGCAGCAAATTAGTTATCCAAACTGTGGCACAAAACCCAAATGAGTGCACTAACACAATTATATAGTGGCAAGTAACAAAGAATAATAAATTAAATATCCTTAAGTTTTGCCATGCCAGCATAAAAATGTGTTCTAGAGACAAAGATGAAAATAAATCTACAGAATGGACTAAATGAGTTGTAGCTGTGTGAAGCATAATGTAGAAACTGGAAAATAGGTAGAATACAAAGATAATCCTGCATTTGTTTAACATTTAAGAAAATCTGGCCTTGATATACTAATGATTTTTAAGTATAATGTTATATATTCTGCACTGAATTTGTGGCAACATTTGCACATAAATTACTTAATATAGATACTATCATTACATTGAACTTATCTGTATTGGCAAATAAAGTAATACATTTCATTAAGAGATATAAATTACATTCTATTAATGTAGAATAATTCAAATTTCTACTTTACCATTTTTTCACAATTCTAACTCTCAATATTCAGACATAATAGATTACATGATCATTAATAAATAAAACAATCGAGTAGCTTGCATGACAATAAATTAAAATTGGAGTGAAACTTCATCAAATGATGTACTGTTGGATGGATTCACAAAAGGCCATTAGTTAGCAACAATTTTCCAATACTCCAAGAAACAACAATGGAAAAATCATTTCTGAGTGCTTAATTACACTTATACTCTTTCATTTCGTATACAATGTCATTATCTATCCTCTTCTTGTCTGCTGTGTGAGGTAAATATTATTCATCCATAGCTGAAGCAACTGAGCTTCACATAAATGATGATGCTAGCAAAACTAACATAATACTTTAGTGTTGCAGACATGAAACAAAATTGAATACTTTGAACTCATTCACTCGTTAAATAAATATGCACCAGGATCTAACTAAACCCCCATTGATCATATTTAAAGTTCTGTCATATTCACCATTTCATGTGTAATATCTAACACAATGCCTGGCAAATATCCAGTTCTCTAAATAAGTGTTGACTGAATCGATATGCCAGGTATTTTACTATGTCCTCTTTCTTCCTCTTATCATAAAAACTCATTATCTTTCATATCAGTGCAGATTATGTACCAAAGAGTGACTATTGATCCAATACCACAATTCAATATATTTTAGAAACAACTTTTTTTCTAAATACTGAAAAACCTCAAACTCCTATTTTTATTGAAATCTGGGTGTCAATTATGGAGTGATACTTTAAAGCATTTCTTAGGTTATTATCTTAAAGATATCACAAAGTCTGTATTTCACAGCCCAATATGCATATTTTGAAAAATATGATATTAAACTTTAATAAATTACCATCTGTTTAGAATAAAACCATACTAACTAGAGGTAATGAACAAAATAGATCTATAATGATGTTGCTATGCTTGTGAATTTAGATTGGAGAAACTTTTCTCTGGAATTTTCTCTAAACCCTACCTTAGCATAATTGTAACATTTTACATTTGCTTCTCATATTATTTGAAACTTATGCCACTATTCTGGATTCATTGAGGAAGCTGCAAGGAAGCAATAAAAATTCTTTCTAGCAACAACTGGAAATTTTGGAATTATTTACCTCTTTTTTTTTTTTTTTTTTTTTTAAAGACAGGGTTTCAGTCTGTTGCCCAGGCTGAAGGGCAGTGGCAGAATCATAGCTCACAGCAGCCTCGAACTCCAGGCATGGGCTGTTATGCCTGGCTAATTATTTTTTTAGAGATGGAGTCTGGCTATATTGTCCAGGCTGGGCTTGAACTCCTGGCCTCAAGCAGTCCTTCTGCCTCAGCCTCCTAAGTCACTAAGACTACTGACAGCCACTGTGCCCAGTGGCCGTTTTTTTAACCATTGACTTGGAAGCCCCCTGAATTCAGGGACAGTAACTGGGAAGCAGTTCCTATGGATAACTCTTCAGGGGCAAAGAGAGTGAGGACATTGTCTCCATTTCTCCGTCTCCAATCCTATGAAGAAGAAATATTTTTATAGCCTATTTGTCAATAGATTGAAAACATTTTGCCTGCCTATGATTACATAGGCTAATTTCCTAGGTGTGAAGCTCCATTTGTGCTTTGCATTTTCAAAATCCTGTCTCCATTTACTCCTTTATTTAAGTTCCCAGATCACTTTAGAATTGCTTTTAATTTACTATGCTTACTGAAGTCTTTATTTCTGCTGAAATTTTTTTTTATTAATTCAGCTAAAATTTCTTCTTCCTATTCCACTCCTTCCTCTTCCCACCTCCCTTCCTTCTCCCACAACCCCCAACTGCCCCAGCTCTCACTCGTTTTCAAAACTAACCATTCCATTTCACTCTCTTTTGGCTATTTTTTTTGAGCTCTCAATTGAACAATAAATTTAACAATAAATGTGGAAAAATAATTCTGTTCCCAATTTTAAGGAATTCTACAACTCAGGAGGTGATCCACCATCACTAGAAGGCAGTATCTTTCTTGGGAAAAAGTAATTAAAATGTGTTTATTTGTATTACACAAACATACGGTATAAGGCTCAGGTGTTTTTCTTTATGTTGTTTAAGGCTCAGTTGTTGGAGTTAAAAGCAATGACATTTTAGTTCTGCAATTTAATTCACCAATTTATCTTCTAACTGTGAGCCCCTTCTCTAGTGCAGGCGAGTTTATCTAATTCACTCATTTTTCCTCTGTCTATTCCAATAAAAGCTTTCAATGATTTAGACTCATTAAATAAGTTACAGTCAGATTCAAAATTCTTTTAGACTTTCTTCTATTACTTATTCTGATGAGTTAATACTTTGCAACTTCGAGTACCATTGCCTACTGGAGAAAATATTGTTAATGAGAATCCAACCATTTTAATGCTAGAATGGCTTTTCCTCTTTCTAGAACATGCCAAAATCAAATACAATATAGACAAATCTCTGATTTCAAAACGTTTTGTTTGGGAAGCAAGAATTGAAGTTTGGGCCATACACACAGACAGGGTGGTACTCAGGATGCCTGAAGAACAAAGAAGATTGGGAGCTTTTTTAAAAAGACAAATGTTAAGTATTGTTTCAAAGAAAAGCTTATTGGCAGTAGAGAAGCTTTAGGTAAAACCAGTCAGGTCAGGTGATTTTAGCAACTACTAGGTAAAATTGGTCTTAGGATTATGTCTGGCCTTTTCAGCAGTGGGGTTTGTAGAAAATTTAATTCTTGCAGCTGGAGCTATGTGCCCTGAGTGCTTTTCTCCCTGGCCTCTTGACCTGATTTAGTTGAGTATGACAAGACCGACCCAGTTTGTATAATCCACTTTCACAAACATTTGCTTCATTTAAAAAAAAATGTTTGGCACTGATTCTAACAAGTGACATCATTCTCAAGACAGCTCATTCTCATAGCTGTATTCATTGAGAAATAGCTTGTTTCCACCGACTGCCATCTTCTTAATTTATATCCCCTCTTTTTGATACATAGTTTGCTGGGCTTATGTATGTTTTCATTATCGCATGCTGAGTTCACTTCCATGTCACTCTTGGCTCTTTGCACAAGTTAGGTTTTGAAGTCTCAGACTGTTTGACTGAATTTACCAATGTACATCAAGTCTAATGGTATAAGATATATCTAGAGGATTGCCTCAGTTACGCTGCAGCTGGAAAGTGATAAGACAGTCTCTCCGTCTCTTAGACATTCCAGAACTTCATGTAGGACCATCTCCTGAATTCCCTGCTTCCCAAGCTTTTCTCCTTTAAGACTTTGCTTAAAAGTCAGGGGCAACTTCACAGTTTTAGCTCCTTATCTCGTAATCATTTTCACTTAAACTCCTCACTTTTATCTTAAAAGAACTGTTTTACTTTCCATGTGTGAGTAGAAGGGAGCTGCTAGACAAATGGTCATTATTACAGATCTCTTACCAGTTTTCACCAATTTTAAAACATGCTATACTATCTCACACTGAATTGCACATTATCTGAATTTAGTACAGAAAAATATGGTTGTAGACATGTCCCAAGGATAAATGGAGGGCCCATAATCTAATATACAGATGAGGGTGGCAGTGGGGAAAATATGCATAAATAGCTTGATTTCTCAAGTAATCTGCACATGACACATTAATACTCCAAATGTAAATTGCTATGCCTGCTTGTTAAATTTAGACTTTATAATCAGTACTTATCCAACTCTTGAAGTGCCATTGCTTCTACCCCTACACCCAGCAGGTATTGCTCTGAACATCTGCTTACTTTTTCCAAAACTTTTAACAAATTCTTTCTTTGCCAAATACTCTGGATTGTTTGTGTCCTCTCAGCACTCATGTTAGCCTTTCTTCCTCCTCAATACACACTTTGATTTCTGCATCTGTGCATCAATATCCAGGATGAGATTTGACAGACTCATTCTTTCTCTCATGGTAAGAATACTTTATCAGACAATTTCATGTTATGGTAAGAATTTTTTAAATTATTTTTTTCCAGTCCCAATCCGTAGCTCTTATTTCCATACAACTTTATCTCAAAGAATCCTGCAATTTCCCAGGGATTACAACTTATTTATTAACAATATGCTGTCTTGTCTTTTCACAAATTTTGTATTTGTTTTCTTTCTGCATTTTCTCTATTTTTATTTCGTTCTTTTACTTTCCTTTTTCTCCTATTCTTTATCTAGCTGGTTTCTATTTTCACTTTGACCTATAGTTTACTTAGAAGTATGCTACCAAATTTCCAAACATAAGGAAAATTTTGTTTGCTGACAACATCTAGCTTAATTAAAATATGTTCAAATAACACATCCTTAAAAATTTCAATCTTTTGTTTTTGTTGTTGATATATGTTTTCTGGCTTAGTATAGTGTAACCTCCTTTTTATATACTTAAAAGGAAAGTACAATAGACGTTCTGTATCTGCTGATTCAACCAGCCGCAGATTGAAAATATTTGAAAAAAATAAAAAATACAAAAACTATAAAACCATAAAATGTAACACAAGTAAAACTACCAATTATTTAAATATCACTTACATTATATTAGGTATTATAAGAAATAAAGAGTTGATTTAAAGTATACAGGAGGATTTTGTAGATTGTATGCAAGTACTATGCCATTTTATATGTAGAAATTGAGCAATTGCATATTTCAATATTTGCAGATATCTGTGAACTAATCCCTTGCAGATATGGAGGAGTGACTGTATATCATTCAGTGGTAGGAGTGGGATTCTACACATGCCTATTAGCTCATAGTTGTTAATGGTATTGTCTAATGTTTCAGTGCTTTCACTAAGTTTGGGTCTGTTTTTCTTTCAGTTCCCTAAAGAGTGCTTAAATATCTCAAACTATAATTATATTTCACCTCTATATTTTGTCCATTTTTCTTCATATATTTTTAAGTGTTGTGATTAAGTTAAAACTACAAACTTACTTTTTAAAATTAAATCACTTGATGCTAGTTTTCACATAAATCTTTTATATAGGCCCTGACCTGGTGAGGGATTCATGTTTATCTCCTGTTACTTAACAGAGATGAATAGATTACTTGCTTTATAACCTAAAGTCATAACGTATTGATCACACCAGTTTCTTTCCAATAATCTCAGTTATGCATTTAACATTTTATATACCCATAGATTAGTATATGCACAAGCACATACAGACAAACACATATGTGTGGCTGTGAATGCCTCTGTGTGTGTATTCTATGTTTAGGTTTTATTTCTTTAGACAAAGGGAAAATGATACACGGTTCAAAACAACCAGGAATGTTGCAGAATTACCCTTCCCCTCCTCAGCAATTTGGCCAGGTTTCTTATTTAAATGTTATTGTGTATATTTGAGGTTTATGACATGAAGTTATGGAATATTTATATGTGGTAAAATTACTACTATAGTGGCCAGGTGTCTTTGGACATATATTCAAACATATTGACATAAAAACAATTCAAGTGATTTTGTAGGAAATTTAAACCACAGACAATAAATCAAGTTTGATTTTAAAATAAGTTGATAATTTTTTAATCATATGTACTGATAATACAAAATTGGGAAAATATGCACATATGTACTTATTGCTTATTTACACAATTTATAAGGCATTATATAGAAATTCATAAAAAGAGAACATGCATTTAAATAACAGTCTTTTACAAAATCTGTGACTATCCATAAATATTAATTAAAGTTTAACTATAACTGTTGATTTCATATAACATTAGATATTTTACCATTAAAAGTAATGGCAAGAACGGCAATTATTTTTGCACCAACAGAATATATCAATATTGAGTATAATCTATATAATAGTGCCTACAATTTTCTATAATCTCATGATTTTGAGCTCCAAACCTGACTTCAGTACTTCAAACCTGTACTTCAATTGTCAAAAAGGAGGCAAAAATCTTTCAGAGTCTTGTATATCAGACACACAGAGAGGGGCACCATACAAACTAGGTTTACTTAGACAAAGAAAAAATAATACACAGTTCAGAACAATAAGGAATGTTATAAAATGACCCTTCCCTTCCTGAGCAATTTGGTCAGGTTTCTTATTTAAATAAATTTTCTTGTATATATTTGATATTTACAACATGAAGTTATGGAGTACATATATGTGGTAAAATCATTACTACAGTGTCCAGGTGCAGTGGCTCATGCCTGTAGTCTCTGTGCTTTGGGAGGCCAAGGTGAGAGGATCACCTGAGGCCAGGGATTTGCAACCAGCCTGGGCAACATAACAAGACCCCATCTCTATGGAAAAAAAAAAATGAAGTGAAAAGATCTGATTCCAGGAGTTTGAGGCTGCAGTAAACTCTGATTGCCACTGTAATCCAGCCTGGGCAACAGAGCAAGATCCTGTCTCTCTAAAAGAAAAAAAAAAAGATTACTATAGTGAAGCAGATTAACATATCTATCATCTCACATAGTTACTTTTTTGTGTGTTTGACAGGAGCAGCTAAAAATCAATTTATTTAACAAAAGTCTCTAATACAGTACAATTTGATTAACTTTAAACCAGGTCTGTGATTAAGAAGAGGTTTGCTATCACTGCAAGAGAGAAAAAAACTTGCATTTTATGTGAGGGCACGTCCAAAGCACTGTCTCTAAGAATTTCGGAGTGGTAAACATGGAGTGTGAATGCTTGCTTTCTACCATAGGAATTCTGAAAGCTAGATTTGGGGATTTTGGCTGAGAGGACCTTTGGTAGCCCAGCACACAAAGAGCTTAGTAATGATATGTGATTTCCCATGGGTCAAAGAGTTATCTTGAAATGTAATCAGTCCTCCTAGAGAAAACAAGGGAAGCCTGAAGATTGATGGTCTGACTGCATGCAAGGATTCCAGTAAGAACATTTTATAATAGTATGGAAAACAAAATTAAGTGAATTGGAACTATAATAGTGTCTTTTTGAATAGCATGAAATAGCCAGGTTTGACATATAATTCTCACCTACAGCTATCTGTATTTTCTGACTGATGGATAACGAAGAAAAAGTAAGAAAGGTAAAATTAGGTTATTTCCGTATTTTGTACTTGGGCAAGAGGATTCTCATGATGCTGTGATGCCATTGATTGAGAAATTGATTTGAGGTGAAAAAGACTTGTAAAGAATAAAAAATAAATTTATCTTTAGAAATGTTAAATTTATGTTATAGTGATTATTTGCAGTAGAATTTAGGGAAAATTGCATATGTACATGACAGTAACAGGAGGCAGACAAATGCCTAGGAAGATAGCAGCGGGTACCCAGTGAAATCCCACCTCTAAGGCAAAGACCGTGTAAAGCCTGCAAACCAAGCTACAAGTTAAATTCTTAGACTTGGCTGAGAACTTGTCTTCCTATTTGGCATGCCTTCCTCACCCTTCACCTATTTTACAGATACCTACCCTTTACTATTTGGTTTTCTACCCTTTCACGCCCACCTTTGAGTGGTGTCTTCACTTTAACCTTTTTGGCATACTCACAAACCAATCAGCATGCACTCCCCTTCCTGTGCCTATAAAGACCCCAGACTCAGTCAGTAGAAGAGGGGATGTCCTGACTTTGGGAAGGAGATGGCCTGACTTCAGGGAAGAGAGACAGCCTGACTTCAGGGAAGAGACAACCTGACTTCAGCAAAGAGAAACTGCTCTTCCAGTCCTCTCTCTAGCTCCCCTCTCCAGCTTCCCACTCTGCTGAGAGCTGTTTTCATTGCTCAATAAAATTCCCTGCCTTCACCAGTCTTCAGCTGTCCATGTGACCTCATTTTTGAATGCCGGACAAGTGCTTGGGACTCACTGATTGTAGGTGCCCAGAAAGTCTGTCACACCAACCCTTTGCCCTCACTGGTGGGGGGCAGCCACCCCATGCTACAAGGCAAGGGGCCAACTGAGCTGCTAACACACCACCATCCATGGATGGTGAAACTAAAAGAGCACTGTAACACCCACTCTGGGGCTTTGGGGTCACAGGCACCCTCACCTGGGCACTGCTGCATTCCCCAGGAGGTGACACATCTGGTCTGCCCAAAGGCCCCACGTGGAGTCTGCTCCTGTGTTGATGCCCAGAGCAGCCAGCTCGATACCACACTCTCTCACTCATGTGTTCCCCCCCACAAGGAGTTGAGCATGGCAGGCCAAGTCGGGGGGACACCCCTGCCATGAGTCCAGTGAAGGGGTAAAGAAAAATCCTGCATCACATACATGGTCTAGTTCATATCTCTCTCTATCTCCATCTCCATCTTCATCCAAATTTATATCCATACCTACAATATCCAGCTTTTGTTTATTTGATTGATTGTTGAGAATTTAAGTTTTAGTTCAGGTGACACCCTGACATTGTGTTAGGGTAATTAGAACATATGTAATTCTAGTGGTGGAAGAGATAATTACCTCTCCTCTTTATGTCAAAGTTTCCCAATGTTTTGCTGATGCTTTGAATTCCATAATTACATATAATGTTCAAATCAAATGCTCCTAGATAAGTAAAGATGACTGACAACTGAGCAGTTAAACTATTAAAACTGGGTAAAAAGGCAGCATAGATGAAAGTCAGAAATTTGCCTAAGACCAGTCCTCCAAAAAATTTTTGGAAAGATAAATATCTCAATTACATTTTATGTCACAGTAACCTGAAATATGTGTTAGTGCATCTTCCTTAATACAATCTAAGGACCAGATAATTTATTCAACAAGTCTCTGCACATATAGGTATTTAGAGGTAGGCATAAACATAATATCTAGGTTTTGTTTATTTCTAGTCTAAATAATTTTTCTAATTATTGACTGTAACTTTAATATTACCTGTCTTTCATGTAGATTTATAACCAATTATATTTAACATGCATTATTTTATCTAGAAAACAGCATAAATGGTGAAAAATACATTTTTTCCTTGGTTTTATGGCTTAAATCAGCCTGTGTAATAATTTTATAAGCCTACCAACAACATGCAAAAATACCTTGAGATATATTAGAGATATTAAACCAAGTTTATCAAAGCATCTTGGAGGTGACTCTGATATCCATCTACATATATTATGCAATTCTTCTCAAATATCATTGCATCACATCAATCAATAATACAAATAATGCCAGGAAACAGAAATCTAGTTCAAATGACCAAGGGGACTGGAAACTTTATTTGTAGAAAAATAAAGGCAGGAAGCATGTTGCAAATTATACAAAACCATTGCTAAAAATAATGCCATTAATACCTACAATACTTCTCTAATATCTCTACCCTCTCTAGCATTTACTTGTTTACTTTCTTTAAAACCATAGACCTTGTTGCAGGCAAATTCTTATACAAAATGATTGAACATATTCTCTATGTCCACAATTTTAGCTCTACATATTCTTTCAATTTAGCAAAATCTAAGAATCCATCTTCAACTGAAAGATTAAACTACAGGAATTACAAGTATTTTATATTTCAAAAGTTTTTTTATTGTCTGCCAGATTTACAAATCTATTGACTTGGTGGAAATTATCAATTTGATTAAGCTATTTAAGTTTAATAATAATAATTATTAGTTTTGCTATGTATTATTCATGTATTCATACAGAAAATACTGATTCAGCACCTATCACAAGTTGGCATATCTACTGTGCACAGGAAGGGATAATGATGGCAAGACAGATGAATATTCTACCATTGCTGAGCTTAAATTCTAATGAAGTTAGACAATGAATCATATTAAATTTGAAGCATACTTTGACAGAGGAAGAACAGAGTATATTGGAATAAGCAATAGTAAAAAAACACTATTTTCATCTATGGGATGAAAAAGTATGGAACAGATACTATTTAAACTGAAATTAAGAAGATGAATAGATGTTGATAAAAAATACTGGTACTGATGACGTTAGAAAATGATATGATATGAGAGGTTAAAAAATTGGAGTATGTTCCTGGGGAGTATGTTCCAGGGATCCAATTCCTACAGGAAATGACACCTATTCCAGTTATTATGCCTGCATACAAATTACAGCAAAATTTAATGGCATAAATCGCCATTTGCTACACTCAGATTGTGTGGGTCAGAAAAATATTTGACTTACATGTGTGGCAGTTGATGCTGGCTGGTGACTTTGTACTGCAGTTCCTTTCTATGTGGGAAACTCTATTTTCTTTTTACATGGACTCTTTTGGGCTTCCTCACAACATGGTTCTACCTTCTACAGGTGAACATTCTGATAGAGCTAGAGCTAGAGCTAGAGATGAGGAGAAAGAGACATAGAGGAAATAGTGATGGGGAGAGGGAGAGACAGAAAGACTGACAGGAGAGAGAGAGAGGGAGAGACATAGAGAGACAGAGAGCGAGATGTGGAAACTCTTCTATTTTTATGACTAAGTCTTAGAAGAAATCTAGGATCATTTCTACCGCGCTCTACTGGTTAGAGAAAGTGCAGGCTCCCATTCACATGCAGATAGATGTAACAGAAACTGTCCATCTCAGCCACAGGAAAGCCAGTCATATATGTAACTGTCTTCTTTGGAAAATGCAATTTTCCATAGTCCACTTGAGTACTTTAAAATGTTTGTAATTACTAAAGCATGGTGTGAAAGAGGGAGGAAATTCAGTGATTTACAAGATATATGGAAACATAATTTTATTTGAAGGAGTCTGGCAAGATGTTGATGGGTTTCATGTAGGAAAATGACTTCAGCAGATTAATATGTTACAAAGATCTCTTTGTGTGATTAGTTAGAAGGGAGCAAGTCTAAATATGCAGAGTATTGCAGCTGCTTATTTGAAAAACTTGTATAAGTTAGGACAAAATCAGAGCACCAAGAAATAAAACAGAACATAATTTTAGCACTTAAAATGGGAAGGGTGTGTGATTAAGTAGCCATAAGGAGTTAGGGAGAAAAAATAATCTAAATGGCCAACATATGTCTGGCTTAACCAACTTGGTGAATGATATACCATGTAAAGAAAGCAGAAGAGGAGTATATTTAAAGGAAAAATTGTGAGTTGGTGATGTACATCCTTGGTTTTATGTAGAGATTTTGAGCAAGAAATGGAATACTTTGGAAGTCATAAGACAAGATAAAATTGGAAATATAGATGTGAGGAATTTTCAATACACAGAGAGCAATTGAAATCATAGGTGCTTAGAGGTGGATTTCTGGTAGTACATACAAATGGAAGAAAAACAAGTCTATGAATGGTCCTGTAATACGCCAACATTTAAAGGCTGAGAGTGATAGCAAACATGTATTGGCATTGTTATTTACTACGTTCCAGTCAGTTTCTAATTGCTTTACAATTTTGGTCTTGTGTACTCTTACAATAATCACATGAAGTGAGTGTTATTATTATTTTTTTAATGAATAGGAAACTGAGTTGAGACAGGCTAAGAGATCGTGCATGAATTCCAACTTGGACATTGAAGTCCAAAGCCTATGCTTTTCTTGACCATTGTGATGCTAAGAAAATTAATTGAATGAGAGGAGATGGAAAGAATGACTAACAAATGTGCCAGAGTGACAAAAAGAGAACCAGTACTGAACAGTGTCATCAATATGATAAAGAGCATTTCAAAAAAATAATAATGAGTTAATAGTTTCAAATATTTTTAAAGCCTTCAGGTGATTTGGAAGTTTGGGGCAGATAAACTACAACTGAGAAGAATAAATCTCATTTTATGAAAATCGCAAGATATTAATATTATTTTAGAGATACAAATATATTTATCTTAAATCATTCAGCCACATGTTTCATCCTCAAAATTGGAAATAGCTATTTATTTCACACTATAAATAAAATATTTTCAAGAATATCATTTATTTAAAAGTTTAGATCAAACAATAAATTCAAATGACTGAGGATATTGGGGCAACATCTTTTAGTACGTATTTGGGTTCATATATTAATTTGAATATTTTAGGGAGATTTGTTCCCTCTGCTAAGTTATGTTGACATGTTGGTTTAAATTAAAAAACACATTAAATTACTTGCCAAAGTACAAAATTGAAGAGATCCTGTCAGCATCTCTTCAGCATCAGAACTTCACACTAGCAGTGGTTCCCGCCTCCAGCTACTTCCATTACTCCTAAAACCAGCCTTCATATACTTTCTGAGGTGCACACAGTGGATGGGCCACACCTACTTCTCAAAACCTAAATTCTTTCTGCATGTTTTTCTTCTTAAGATGTTCCAGATCTTTTCAATACCCATTTCTGAATCTCTTTTTATGGCAATAAGCCTTTGTTTTTCATACAGGGTTCCACTGCAGCATTTTAGCATGCTGCCTTATTGCATATAGAAAACTGATGAACATCTTCAGGCACTAAGATCAGGAAATAAAGTGGGTTAATGCTATTTGTTGATACATTTATGGATCACTCAGCAGTGTTAATACAGGCTCTCTTTACCTGAAAGCAGAATTACAATCAACTCACTCTGGCAGCACAGGGCAATTCTAAAATGCAGGTCTAGTGAAAGGTACACACAACCAGCAAGCAAGGAAGGGACAGATGCCATGTCCTCTTCTGAAGGTAGTGACTGATTTGGAACCAGGGTCTGCAGATTTTAAAAACTGATATAGCCACCTTAACTGCTTAATATTGAGTTTCCCTTATTGTGTATGTTGACAATCAGTAAAAGTGAGAATTTCTAAAATGCGCTAAAGAGGATTAAAAAGCGGAACGTTGTCCATGTAACAGAATTGCTGCTTCACAACTTTTGCCCAGTTCTCACCTGTTGTCCTGTGAAAACCTCTCCTCTGATGAGTTTTAGTGAAAGCCTCTTAAAGTCATAACAGACTTTTCTCAACCGAGCTCTAGGTACTAAGTATTAGGAACACATGTCCACAGGAAATGGCAGTGTTTCTACTGGAGGTAAGTGTCACGTGTCCTCTTGATGTCAAAGGAATCTGGTCCCATATAATCAACCTGGCCCTATTCCCACCACTTCTTCTGTTCTTCCAAGGATACAAAAGGCTGTGCCATAGCTGGAATCTCCCCAAGGGACAGATGTGATATGCCTCCTGAGATATCTTCCACATTTACATATGAGCAGGTGTCTTTGACAAGGTCAAATTGTTGACGCAGAGGTAAAACATTGGTGGTAAAGATGCTCCACCACAGGATGAGAAACGCTGGATAAGTCACTTTGGGATCATGGGACTCGCTTTTGACATTTTTTGTTTTGGGATCATAACTATAATTCCATGATTTGGCTCCTTCCAGGAAATGCACAACTTTGGCATTTGCACCAAACACTTTAAATTCTGGGAGGTAGGAGTATATAGTGATGTTGCTTAGGTTATAAATGAACAGCAGGTGTTTTCTGATTATCTGTTGTTGCCCAGATGCTTAAAAAATGTGTTCAGTAAGACTTGGTCTCCACTGTCAAAACTACCTTGCACAGAAGTAAGATGCAACAGCTGATTATATGTTTCAACTGAAGGCTGATAAACAAAGATTCCGGAATTGGAGCAGTTAGGCCACCCTTAGTCTGGTGCTGCTGACAATTCTTCTCGCTCAAAAAGATCATCAATATTTGCTAGGATCAGAGTATCTGATCATGAATGTGATCCATGAATACACATTTTGAATACTGTGTAAGTGGCTAGGCGTGGAGCTTTGCCAGCGTGGCATCCAACTCTGGCCCCTTCATTACGGTTAGATGAGCAGAATCGCTGCTGTCCAAGACATTTACCATGATGACTTCATCAAAGACTGTCGCTGAAACTTTTCTCATGGAGTTTGAGACTTGCGGGGTGGTGAATACGACCAGGCTTCTGGTGGTCCTGTGCTGTTTTAGAGGTGAGCCCCGGACCGGGGCACCCCTTTGGTGTAGGCATAGTTTGTGGTCAATGTCACAAAGGCCTGATCTATCATGGTGCTGCTCAGGGGTGCTGGTGGCCGGGGCAGCTGCGGGTTGGTGGCTCAGAGAAGCCTGTGCCAGAAGGCAGCAGGGCCAGCGAGGGGGTGTGGCCTCTGAATCTATTCCATCAACCCAAGGGATAATAATTGCTTCTTGCAGTAATTTCTTGGTCGCTCTTATTTCCTTTCTTTTTGCTTTTTCCATCTTCCGTATAACCTGTTATTTATACCACATACTCGCTTTTTAAACATCTAATGTTTCTGTGTTACTGACTGGACCTTAGTAGTAAATGTTGAACAATGCTTGCTGATTTGTTTTTCTGTGGTCTCTTCAAGGATTCCCCACAATCCAACAATAAAGACTTAATGTTTCATAAATGTTTTAGAAGTACTGCCTAGAAGGCTTAAATATTATTACCATGTATTATAAGAATGGTGATTTAACTTTTAATTTAAAATTAACGTATTTATTTCCTGGATATACCTTAGTGGATCTATAGTCATATATAGCTATTTCCTGATTGCTGCTTTAAAGAAGTTGCCCCTAATTGAATGAGTAAACTAAAATGACAGTAAATCCTATGGTAATCTTATCATATAAAGAAGCTAAATAGTCTATCACCATCTTACTAACTTCTAAGGAATTATTTTGTTGAAGATTTGATGAATGACTTTTAGTACTTTTCTAACAATTTAACATTATGCCATGTTGGAAACACTGTATAGGAAAGTAAATGATTAAATGTTAAAGTTACCTGTATGTACTTATAATTTGCTCATTTTACTACATTGCGATAACAAAATTTTATGTAATTTTACTCCTTATAAATACCATAGTATACCTTATTAATTAGGCCAATAAAGAGTCCCATTGATTTTTTGTGACCACTAACATATCATTGACTAATATTCATGGGTGTGGTGGATCTTTTGGAAAAGAGAACTAACTAAAAAACATTTCTTGAAGACAAGATACTTCTGAAGTAATGTACTACAGAATTATTGAAAGAATCTTTAGAACTGGGAAGTTATATTGAGATGCTATTTTGATACTGATAGCATGTAAAATATATTAAATTTGCAATGACATTTTTAAAAAGAATGAAAAGGATGAACTTCCTATTATCTGAACTGAAGGGCTTTTATGATATAATACTCTTATTTCTAAAACTATGATTAAAACTGTACTTCAAAAGTCAAATCTTTTCAAAGAAACTCTAAATTACCAAGTAAAGAATTTGAAAATCTTATCTAATGTTCTCACAGAAAAATTCTCTTGACCTTTGGTTTGACATTGAAGAGCATTCTTATTTTCTAAAAGCCTGTTTTGCTCTATTCTTTTCATGACAACAAATTCATAAGGAAAAAAATCTAACAGAAAATATTTGCTCCATGTAATATGAAAGTAAAAATTTTTGTGTTTGTGTATGTATAAATGAAATTGTGTGTGTGTGTATATTCAGGCAATATTATTATTGAGAATATATTATATAATTAGTATCCAAAATATTTAAATCAAAAACACTCTCCTAATTTGCCTTGCTTTGCACAGTATATATAAGAAGTAAATTTCTCAGACCATGGTTTTCTTTTCTTTTCTTTTATTTATTTATTTATTTTTTGAGACAGAGTCTCGCTCTGTCGCCCAGGCTGGAGTGCAGTGGCACCATCTCGGCTCACTGCAAGCTCCGCCTCCCAGGTTCACGCCATTCTTCTGCCTCAGCCTCCCGAGTAGCTGGGACTACAGGGGACCGCCACCAAGCCAGCCTAATTTTTTGTATTTTTAGTAGAGACAGGGTTTCACCGTGTTAGCCAGGATGGTCTCAATCTCCTGACATCGTGATCCGCCTGCCTCGGCCTCCCAAAGTGCTGGGATTACAGGCATGAGCCACAGCGCCCAGCGGGATACTTGCACCTGTTAGTAGAAGAATTAGTGTGATTATTTTATGTTAAAATAAAGATATTATAGAATTTAAAATATGAGCTTTGTAATTATATTAACAGAACAAACTTTGTAATGGGTTGTTTAATTTGTAGAAGATGTGCATTGCATCTGGTGTGCATTAGAATCTCAAGACTTCTGATCTGGTGACAAAGAATTAAGACTTGGATGGGGGCATTTCTATTTAAGCATGATGTATTGTCTATGTTAACTTATTTTCTTATTTTCTAACCCAACTGAAATTAAGTAATAATAAAAACAAAGTCAATGGTGGGAGAAATTTCACCAGAAGAAGGTTTCAAAGAGATATTTTAGATGCAGAAAATTGAAAAGGGAGAGTTGATTTTCATGCAGAACAGGATAGTAATGAGAATAGAAATAATTACTTCATATAGCCCTTGAGAGTCTCAGAATTTAGATAAATTTGGAATGATGCATGTAGCTAAAAACAGGTGGGTTGTTAAAAGCCATTGATTGCCCTTTGCCTCTGCCAGATGGGATACTGATCATTTATTTTGTGGAAAATGTAATAAAAGGTGCCCCGGATTCCAGAATTCAAGTACAATAGAAGAGGCCTGGGAGAGAAGCACAACGGTCCAAGCTTTTTTTTGCCATTTCGCTTCCAACTCATTATTTTGTATGAGCTCTGTAAAAAGGAAAAGATTGCCATCTAACCCTGGAGTATATGCCAAGTCTTCCTGGAACAAGAAAGGGTTGCAGGGAACCACTGTGCTGGGAAAAACAGAAGAAGAGAGTACTCTAGAAGCAGGATAATAAAAGCAGTAAGAGAGATTTTTATATCTGCCACTTTTTATTACTAGAAATAATTTATACCATGGTTTGCTGTTTTGCACTTTTTGTCATGAAGGCAGCAAGGCCAGACCAGCTTTCGGACAGAATAATTTATATGAAAATATAGCTAAAATTGATCTTACTAGAAAATGGGTTAAGAATGCATACTTAATAGTGATCTCAGACAGCCTCTCAGTGTGCCCACCCCTGAGGATTAGGTGTTCAATACTTAGGGAGACAGTTCTTTAAAAGAGCATTGTCAGGGTAAATATGGAGAGTTTAATACTTGAAGATCTCTTGAATGAACTCTGTTACCTGCATTTTTCTAAAATTATCTACAAGAGCATCATCTAGTAGAGTGACAGCCTTGGCATTATTTCCATCTCATGTTATCACCTGCTGATGAATTTTGCCTGGGGATCTAGAGCTTACGGAGAAAATAAATTAAACACATAGGTTTTCAATCACTGTAAAGAAAAATAATAAACTGAAAAACATATATATGCTGATTACTCTCTGTCAACCCCCTCTTTATTCTTCCTCCATTCTGCCCCTCCCTGTACCCTAAAACAGTGGTCCTCAACATTTTTGGCACCACGGATTGGTTTTGTGGAAGACAATTTTTCCTTGGATGGAGGGGGGATGGTGTCAGGATGATTTAAGCACATTAAATGTATCACGCACTTTATTTCTATTATTATTACGTTGTAATATATAATGAAGGAGTTATATGGTCATCATAGTGTAGAATCAGTGGAAGCCTGAACTAGTTTTTCTGCAACTAGATGGTCCCATCTGGGGATGATGGGAGACAGTGACAGGTCATCAGGCATTAGATTTTCATGAGGCATGCACAACCTAGATACCCACAGTTCACAACAGGGTTCATGCTCCTGTGAAAATCTAATGCCACTGCTGATCTGATGGGAGGTGATCTCAGGTGGTAATGCAAGTGATGGGGAGCGGCTCTAAATATAGATGAGGCTTTGGTTGCTGGCTTGCCTGCTGCTCACCTCCTGCTGCGCGGCCCAGTTTCTAACAGGCCATATAGTGTGGCCTGTGAGTAGCAGTCCGTGGCCTGTGTGTTGCGGACTCTGTCCTAAAAGAAAACAAGACCATAGATTGCCTTACCATAATGTTTTACGATCAGGTTTTGAATTAGGTTCTGCTAGGGAGATACAGATTTCTTGTGCTTTTCAGTATAATAAAGATAGTGTTTCCTCTAGGACAAGAGACAGACAAGTTTACGTCCCATTATAAAAGTTTCCGACTCGCTAAACTCAGGCTACTTCTTTAATTCAACATATTGCATGCAGAGTGCTGAAGTTGTCTAGTAGATTCTCTGCAATAATCTGATTTGTATAATGGTGTACAATTAATATCTTTCTGTAAGCTAGATTATTTTATAGCTCTATAGAGGGAAAAATTAAGCAACAGAAAATAAAACCTATGCAAATGTTTGTTGATTATTGCACTATAAATAATTTCTGTCTACAGCAATGTGAATGAAACTTTAGAAAACATACATCTCTCCATGTCAAATTCTCATTTAAACCATTTTTAATATATTGTTGGCATCCTGTTTAATTAATGAGTTAAATAAAATCTTTGACACATTAATTTTGTATTTATATGAAAGTCATGTTTTTACTTTTTTAAACTGTTAATAGTACTTCATATATAAACACTGATTAAAGAAAAGTTTCTCTAAACACATGTATATATCACTAGGAACTGACATACATTTATTACCCTGAGAGTATATTTTATTATGTCTTGTTAAGTAAAGAGTAAGTCAGGGATTGTGTTCTAGGATAAAAATGGCTCAGTAGTTATATATCTAATGTCTGATTTCTATTATTGCTATTTAGGGAATTGTCATAAATAGGCCGAGGAAATGGTAAGGGACTTACATGATTTATATTTTTATGTTAATAATACAATATACAAAATTTCTTTAGGTATCATCTCAGTTACTAAAATGTCTTAATTTATGTCTTATTTTCAAGAAAAATGCTAATATTTAGACTTTCAAGAATTTATTTTATGAATCTAAGATTATGAAACAAACAAATGACCTGTGGTATTTTTTTTCTTTTTTCTTTCCATTACTCCTTTAAGTGCAATGCACATGTGGGCAGTCATGATAAATACATTTATTTGTTTCTGGCAGACTCTCATCTTAAATGTGTATCAAGTTAACTCACTAAAGCAGAAAATCTTACCAAATGTTAGTCACCATAAAATGCTTCTATGGCTTACATTAAAAACTGATAATAATTGAGACCTGGCATACATTATTTCAGCTCATAGTAAATTTTCCCAGTATGTGAGATTTTCTGAATTTAACATATTTAATGATATAATGTATAGTCTCTTTTAATATTTCTTTAATAAGCTACTGTATGATGTAATTATGCATGTTGAAAGATTTGTTACAATTGTCCACAATCAAAATATATGAATGATGTAATTACATATGTAAAGATGTTCTTTGATTATCTATATTTAATACTTGCATGGCTATATTTTAAATTATGCTGAAAATTAAACAGCTAAAAAATATGTGTCTTTTTATGGTATCCATATAGAATATTATTTTATTATCTTTGGTGGAAACATGCTGTAGAAACTCTCAAGGCATAGTAATTAGATAAGGATTAATAAAGAAAATGACAAAATATTTAATGAGAAATGAACTCTAAATTAGAGATTGATTCAGATCCCCCAAAAATATGTTTGACCTAATTGGAATAAATCCTACAGATTCAGAAAACTCTGTGTTAAGTTTAAAGAATACTGAGATTTCTGTCATATTTCTTGCCTAAAAGGAAAATGACATTAATAAGAAGGGATAAAAATGTTAATAATAAAAGAGAAAATGGTAAATGGCATGGGAGAATTGTTACTATTTAATACACTTATGTATTACAAATGTGTTGTAAAATTCTGTTTCATTCTGTTTTATGCTACTGTAACAATATCTGAGACGGAGTTATTTATAATAAAGGGAATTTATTACTTTCATAAGGAGGAGACTTCTAGTAATAACATCACTTGACGTATCTGTCAGTTACACACACTATGGTATACAGGTTTAATTTCCATGCCCTAGGCTTTCTCTTCTATCTGCTTTACTATCTTATTACAACTCAGACAAGATAAACAGATACCACTACCTTTGTTTTGAAGATGAGAACTCACAGTTTGAAAAATTATTTATCTGTGAGAATCAATCAGGAAATTAACGAACAGTTTAATTACAATCTCCAGGGTTGTGTTTTGTTTTTTAGTATTGTGTCACTTTCCCATGTACCCTTTGTCTGTTACAGTAACCTGCATTTAACAGGCACTCAATTTTTACATTTTGAGTTATTAGTGTTAAACGCTTAAATTTTCTCTTTTCCAACAAACAAACTTGGTGAATATATAACTAAGGCATTTTGTAATATTTGAGAATTGTCATGTAACTATGATAAGCAACTATAAAATAATAGCAATAAGTGGAACTGATATTTAGTTTAGAGTATAAAAATTTCAAAATTATTTACACGTAGTAAAAGAGAAACATCAAGAAGCAGATGGTATATATTGATTTCTTTGCGGTCAGAGATTTAGGCGCTCTCTCTCTCTCTCTCTCCCCATATGTATACTTAGCATCTGTCATGCAATAGAGCAAATTTTTAAGTGCAGAAATTTTTCATGAGAACTAAAATATCTGATGAAAAAATGATAGCTGTTTTGTCAAAGGCTTTACAACTGCCTACTCAGATACAGCAATGCATCGTAGTGCTCACATAGGACAGAAGGAGGAAGTTTCTAAAGGGAGTAATTTTCCTGATAGAAATGCAAGAGCTGTTAAAACATGACAGACGCCAAATTTAGAAACTTAACTTTTAATACAACAAAAAAATTTATTCATTTTCAAATATGTGTTTCATGAAAGAAAATAGAGAAATGGATTATATAGGATGCTAATAGAAATTTGGCTGGACTATGGCAGTTACCTAACAAAATTTTTGTTGTATCATAGTTTATTTGGTTAGTGATGCTGCATCATCAACAAAGTTATCTGAATTAAAAAGTGATTTTAAAATTACCAGACTATGATTATGCCTATGTAGAGGCCAAGGAGAACTCTTGGCCCTCTGAAATTTCACTGAAAATTCAACTTGGAAAAGACAGATTAATAGGAGAAAAAGCATACAATTTTATTTAACATGTATACATGGGAGCCTTCGGATTGTAGACCTAAAGATACAGGGGAAATTGTCCATTTGTATGCCTATGTTAAATAAAGTATGGATAGCCATGGAGAAATATGATTGGAAGAAAGTGTCTAATCCAATGTTAATAGACTGAGTGGAGAAACCCAGCAAGACCTGTCTATCTAGATTTTTCTTTAGTCCTCTGAGCATGCATGTCTTCCTTCTGGGTGTGGGGCAGGGCCTTCTCTGGAATGAGGATCTTATGACCTACAGTCAAGCAAGGCAAGTCAGATAATATTTTTATGGCCAATTTTTACACAGAAAGGCAGAATGAAAGTTTCAGTAATAAGTTTAGGTTTTATGGCTGACTTTAGAGAAAAAGTGTTCTATGACCTGTCTTGGCAAGAGGGATTATAGTTTCTATGGCTAACCTTGGAAGAAATAGGACTAAGAGACTCGAGGGCAGGAGTAGGTCAGATAAAAACTTTTGCTTTTGATGCTTTTGTTTTAGTGTATTGTTTCTGAGTCCCAGCACTGGAATTCTGCAACCTAGTATGTTAAGATGGCTAGAGCTTTATAATTGGCTTTGTGAAATATTACAGTGACCTGCAAACAAGCACAGGACCTCTTCCTTTCAATTTATGTTTGTCAGACCTATAAATTTGCATCTGAAAGAATGTTTTATGTCTCATTTAACTGGATAGTGCCATAATCACATTTAATACTTAAAATAACTTTCTTCTATAGAAACCCTAAGGCAAAAAGTCAAAAGGATCCAGAAAGATCTGCTAGAAGTCTTCCACTCTTTTGACTAGAGTTTTGTCTACAGAAAAACTGTTCTTCAGAAAAGAGAGGCCATCACTGCACTGGGCGAGACACTTTCAAGTGCTGCCAAGCATTCACACGGCTAGCAAAGTGAAAACCAACAAAACAAAGCAATACTGGATTTGTGTTCATCATATGATGCTTACCACCTCAAGAATACTGGTCTATAATTCCTACAAATGAGTTAAAACTTATATTTTTTTAGGTTAACTGGTAGTGGTAAAAGCAAAAGGAAATATTCTAGCAAAATAACTAATATGTCATAGATTGCCTTTGTGTCTTATTCACAGTAGTTTTATTTCAATTGCTTTATTGAAAATCACATTTTATTATAAAACAAATATATCATTTGTTACATTACTATTTTCTTTCTGTAACTCCAGTAATAGTTCCCACACTCTATTTTCTGATCAGCTATAAATTACAATCCCAGTTTAAGAGAGTGTAGACTTTTTTTAAAAAATGCCATGAGATCTGCAGCATAAAAATGTACAACTATTTTCTATGAAAAAGCAATTTTCAGATTGGAGAGCCTCAGCCTCCAATGTAAAATGAAAATGTGCTCTGAGAGGGGTTGGAGAGTTAGAGATTATAAATGCAAAAGCAGCAGAGCAAGAGAGAGGAGTCAGGGAAGTGAGGGGCAGAGTTTTAATTGGACCACCTTTAAGCCTAACATCACCAGTCTCTGTTAATTGGCTGGTTCCAGGAAATCTGTGGGTTGGTACCAGGTGGTCTGTTAGTAGTCATCTGGGAAATTTTTAGTTGCAGTCTTGATATTGCATCCACAATAATAACTGGTTTGGCTCCATTATAGAAAGGGATGTCCTTGGACATACTCATAACATTGTTGCAGGACTGCCAGGTTCATATGCCCACTGTATAGCAATATACCAATACACTGAGACAGCAGGGCTTGCAGCAAATTACAAGTTTAAAAATTGCCAAGCGTTCTGAACAAGGAAACGGAAGGAATTCTCAAGCATCAAGTCCATTTTCTCAAGGGGTTCTGGGCAAAAGCCTTTAAGGAAATTGTGGAGCGTCAGGGGCTGGAAAATTGAGATTGCTGATTGGCTGGGGTAAAAGGGGTGAAATTTGCAGGGTGTGGAAAACACATTCTTCCATGGGTCAGCTTCCTACTGGGCCCTTCAGAACAGCTGGCATCAGTAGTTTTCTCATATGCAGAACCTAAAGGAGGAACTCGACTAGAATGCTTATCATCTCACAATGCCTTAGATTTCATCTACAGAAAAGAAAAGGAATAAAGAGTCCTGTGACAGGGCTATGTTTTCCTGGGGTACTGTATTAGTCCATTTTCATGCTGCTGACAAAGACATACCTGAAACTGGGCAATTAAAAAAAAAAAGAGGTTTAATAGACTTACAGTTTCATATGGCTGGGAAGGCCTCACAATTATGGTGGAAGGCAAAAAGGAGCAAGTCACATCTTACATGGATGGCAGGAGGCAAAGAGAGAGTTTGTGGAGGGGGTGACTCTTTTTAAAACCATCAGATCTTACATTTACTAAATAAAAACATAAGACTTAGAGTACACAATAGTACATTTGTTGAATAAAAACATAAGACTTAGAGTACACAATAGTACATTTGTTGAATAAAAACATAAGACTTAGAGTACACAATAGTACATTTGCTGAATAAAAATATAAGACTTAGAGTACACAATACTACAATAGTACATTCACTAAATAAAAACATGAGACTTAGAGTACACAATACTATGTTTACTGAATAAAACCATCAGATCTCATGAGACTCATTCACTATTGTGAGAAAAGCATAAAAAAGACCCATACCCATGATTCAATTACCTCCCACTGGGTTCTTCCCACAACACATGGGAATTGTAGGGGTTACAATTCAGGCTTAGATTTGGGCGGGGACACAGCCAAACTATATTGTTCCTCCCCTGGCCCCTCCCAAATCTCATGTTCTCACATCTCAAAACCAATTATGCCTTCCCAACAGTAGCCCAAAGTCTTAACTCATTTCGGAATTAACTCAAAAGTCCACAGTCCAATGTCTCATCTGAGACAGGCAAGTCTCTTCTGCTTATGATGGAGAAATTGGCCAAAACAAAGGGGCTACAGGCTCCATGCAAGTCTGAAATCTAGCAGGGCAGTCAAATCTTAAATCTTAACATCAAAATGATCTCCTTTGACTCCATGTCTCACATACAGGTTACTCTGATGCAAGAAATGGGTTCCCATGATCTTGGGTAGCTCCACCTCTGTGGCTCTGCAGGGTATAGCCTGCCACCTGGCTGCTTTCACAGGCTGGTGTTGAATGTCTGTGGCTTTTCCAGGTGAATGGTGCAAGCTGTTGGTGGATCTACGATTCTGGGGTCTGAAGGATGGTGATCCTCTTCTTACAGCTTCACTAGGCAGTGCCCCAGCATGGACTCTGTGTGGGGGCTCCAGCCCCATATTCCTTTTCTGCATTGCACTAGCAGAGGTTATCCATGAGGGCCCTGCCCCTGCAGCAAAGTTCTGCCTGGGCATCAAGGCATTTTCATACATCCTCGGAAATCTAGGCAGAATTTTCCGAACTTCAATTCTTGACTTCTATGCACTCACAAGTTCAACACCACGTTGAAGCTGCCAAGGTTTGGGGCTTGCACCCTGGAAAGCCACCACCCAAGCTCTATGATGGCCCCTTTTAGCTATGGCTGGAGTGGCTGGGATGCAGGGCTACTCCTAGACCTGCGGACCTGTGATGGGAGGGGCTGCCACTAACAATTCTGACATGCCCTGGAGACATTTTCCCCATTGTCTGGGGATTAACATTCAGCTCCTGGTTACTTACTAAATTTTGCAGCTGGCTTCAATTTCTCCTAAAAAAAATGGGATTTTATTTTCTATCACATTGTCAGGCTGCAAATTTTCCAAACATTTATGCTCTGTTTCCCTTTTTAAAACTGAATGCTTTTAACAGCACCTAAGTCACTTCTTAAATGCTTTCCTGCTTAGAAATCTATTTTGCCAGATACCCTAAATCATCTCTCTCTAGTTCAAAGTTCCACAAATCTTTAGGGCAGGGCCAAAATGCCACCAGTCTCTTTGCTAAAACATAATAAGAGTCACCTTTGCTCCAGTTCCCAGCAAGGTTCTTATATCCATCTGAGACCACTTCCGCCTGGACTTTATTGTCCATATGGCTATCAGAATTTTGGTTAAAGCCATTCAACATTCTCTAGAAAGTTCCAAATTGTCTCACATTTCCCTAGCTTCTTTGGAGGCCTCCAAACTGTTCCAACCTCTGCCTGTTACCCAGTTACAAAGTCATTTCCACATTTTGGAGTATCTTTACAGTAGCACCCTACTCCACTGGTAAAAATGTACTGTATTACTTACTTTTCATGCTGCTGATAAGGACATACCCAAGACTGGGCAATTTACACAATAGAGGTTTAATGGACTTACAGTTTCACATGGCTGGGGAGGCCTCACAATCTTGGAAGAAAGCAAGGAGGAGCAAGTCACATTTTATGTGGAAGTTGGCAGGCAAAGAGAGAGTTTGTGCAGGTGACCTCCTCTTTTTAAAACCATCAAATCTCTGAGGCTTATCCACTATTGCAAGAAGAGCACAAGAAAGACGTGCCACAACCCCCCATGATTCAATTACCTCCTACAGTGTCCCTCCCAGGATATGTAGGAATTATGAGATTTACCATTCAAAATGAGATTTGAGTGGGGACACAGCCAAACCATATCAGGAGCTAATCATTGATCACCCTCAAGGAAGTGGGCCAAAAGGCAAGTTGGCTTAAGGATTGTTGCTGTTTACCCTGCAAGCCAACTTAAATTTTATTTTATTGACCCTTAATTGATTTCATAAAATTTTATTTGGGACAGTTTTAACCTCTTTCTGAGAACACAGAGCACATGACCACTCCCTCACCAAACATGGTTAATTCTACTGACCTTTGACAGCCCCAGGTAGCCTTGGTGATATAGTTTGGATCTGTGTCCTCACCCAAATCTTGTCTAATTGTAATCCCCAGTGTTGGAGGAAGGTAGTGATAGGAGGTGCTTGGATCATGGGGGTAGAGTTTATTTATTTATTTATTTATTTATTTATTTATTTTACTATAAGTTCCAGGGAGGTGTTTGGATCATGGGGGTGGAGTTATTACAATTTACTTATTTATTTATTTTACTTTAAGTTCCAGGATACATGTGTACAATATGCAGGTTTGTTACACAGATATACATGTGAGATTGTGGTTTGCTGCACTTATCAACCTGCAACCTAAGTTTTAAGCCCTAGATGCATTAGCTATTTGTCCTGATGCTCTTTCTCCCCTCCGACCCCTGGCAGGCCTTGATGTGTGTTGTTCCCTTGCCTGTGTCCATGTGTTCTCATTTTTCAACTCTCATGAATGAGAACATGCAGTGTTTTGTTTTCTGTTCCTGTGTTAGTTTGCTGAGGATGATGGCTTCCAGCTTCATCCATGTTCCTGTGAAGCACATGATCTCATATGTATTTATGGTTGCATAGTATTCCATGGTGTATATATACATTTCCTTGATTCAGTTTATCATTGATGACCATTTGGGATGACTCCATGTTTTGCTATTGTGAAGAGTGCTGCAATAAACATGTATGTGCATGCATCTTTATAATAGAATAATTTACATTTTGGGGGATATATGCCCAGGAATGAGCTTACTGGGTCAAATGGTATTTCTGGTTACAAATCCTTGAGGAATTGCCACACCATTTTCCACAATGATTGAACTAATTTACATTCCCACCAACAGTGTAAAAGCATTCATATTTCTCACAGCCTCTCCAGCATCTATTGTTTCTTGACTTTTCAATAATTGTCATTATAAATGGCATGAGGTGGTATCTCATTGTGATTTTGATTTGCATTTCTCTAATGAGCAGTAATGATGAGTTTTTTTTCATATGTTTGTTGGCCACATAAATGTCTTCTTTTGAGAACTGTCTGTTCACATCCTTTGCCTATTTTTGATGGGGTTGTTTGTTTTTTATAAATTTGTTTAAGTTCCTTGTAAATTCTGGATATTAGACCTTAGTCAGATGGGTAAATTGCAAAAGTTTTCTCCCATTCTGTAGGTTGCCAGTTCACTCTGATGACAGATTCTTTGGCTATGCAGAAGCTCTTTTGTTTAATGAGATCCCATTTGTCAATTTTAGCTTTTGTTGTAATTGCTTTTGGTGATTTCTTTATAAAATCTTGGCCCACGCCTATGTCCTGGGGTTTCTTCTAGGGTTTTTATGGTTTGGGGTTTTACATTTAATTCTTTAATCCATCTTGAGTTAATTTTTGTATCAGGTGTAACAAAGGGGTCCAGTTTTAGTTTCCTGCATATGGCTAGCCAGTTTTCCCAGAACTATTTATTAAATAGGGAATCTTTCCATATTGCTTGTTTTTGTCAGGTTTGTCGAAGATCAGATGGTTATAGATGTGTGGTCTTATTTCTGAGGTCTCTGTTCTGTTCCATTGGTCTATATATCTGTTTTCATACCAGTACCATGCTGTTTTGGTTACTGCAGCCTTGTAGTATAGTTTGAAGTCAGGTAGTGTGATGACTCCAGCTTTGTTCTTTTTGCTTAGGAGTGTCTTGGCTATGAGGGTTCTTTTTTGGTTCCATATAAATTTTAACTTTTTTTTTTCTAATTCTGTGGAGAATGTCAATGGTAGTTTGATGGAAAAAGCATTGAATCTATAAATTACTTTGGGCATTCTGGCCATTTTCATGATATTGATTCTTCCTATCCCTGAGAATGAAATGGTTTTCCATTTGTTTGTTTCCTCTCTGATTTCCTTGAAGAGTGGTTTGCAGTTCTTGAAGAGGTCCTTCACTTGCCTTGTTGGCTGTATTCCTAGGAATTTTATTCTCTTTGTAGCAATTGTGAATGGGAGTTCATTCATGATTTGACTCTCTGATTGTCTATTTTTGGTTCATGGGAATGCTTGTAATTTTTGCCCATTGATTGTGTATTCTGAGACTTTGCTGAAGTTGCTTATCAGCTTAAAAAGTTTTTGGTCTAAGACGATGGAGTTTTCTAAATATAGGATCATGTCATCTGCAAAGAGAGGCAATTTGACTTCCTCTCTTTATATTTGAATACTCTTTATTTATTCCTCTTGCCAATTGCCCTGGTCAGAACTTCTAATACTATGTTGTATAGGAGTGATGAGAGAGATCATACCTGTCTTGTGCTGGTTGTCAAAGGAAATGCTTCCAGCTTTTGCCCATTTAGTATGATATTGTCTGTGAGTTTGCTATAAATAGCTCTTATTATTTTGAGATATGTTCTGTCAATACTTAGTTTATTGAGAGTTTTTAACATTAAGTGAGGGTGAATTTTATCAAAGCCCTTTTCTGAATCTATTGAGATAATCATCTGGTTTTTGTCATTGGTTCTGTTTATGGGATGGATTGCATTATTGATTTGCATATGTTGAACAAACCTTGCATTCCAGGGTTGAAGATGACTTGAATATGGTGGGTAAGCTTTTTGATGTGCTGCTTGATTTGATTTGCCAGTATTTTATTGTGGATTTTTTTGGCAATGTTCATCAGGAATATTGGCCTGAAGTGTGTGTGTGTGTGTGTGTGTGTGTGTGTGTGTGTGTGTGTGTGTGTCTGCCCGCTTTTGGTATCAGGATGATGCTGGCCTCATAAAATGAGTTTGGGAGGACTCCCTCCTTTTCAATTGCTTGGAATAGTTTCTGAAGAAATTGTGCCATCTCCTTTTTGTACCTCTGGTAGAATTCAGCTATGAATACATCTGGTCCTGGGCTTTTTTGGTTGGTATGCTATTTATTCCTGCCTCAATTTTAGAATTTGTTATTGATCTATTCAGGAATTCAGCTTCTTCCTGGTTTAGTCTTGGGAGGGTGTATGTATCTAGGAATTTATCAATTTCTTCTAGATTTTCTAGTTTATTTGGGTAGAGGTGTTTACAACATTATCTGATGGGAGTTTGTATTTCTTTGGGGTCAGTGGTAATATCCTCTTTAACATCTTTTATTGTGTGTCTACTTGATCTTCTCCTTTTTCTTCTTTATTCATCTTGCTAGTGGTCTATCCATTTTGTTAATCTTTAAAAGAAAACAGCTCCTGCATTCATTGATTTTTTGAAGGGTTTTTTCACATCTCTATCTCCATCAGTTCTGGTCTGATCTTAGTTATTTCTTGTCTTCTGCTTTTGGAATTGTTTGCTCTTGCTTCTCTAGTTCTTTTAGTTGTGATGTTAGGGGGTCGAGTTGAGATCTTTCTAGCTTTTGGATATGGGCATTTAATGCTATAAATTTCCCTCTTATCACTGCTTTAGCTGTATCCCAGAGATTTTGGTACATTGTCTCTTTGTTTTATTGGTTTCAAAGAACTTCCTGATTTCTGCCTTAATTTTATTATGTACCCAGAAGTAATTCAGGAGCAGTTTGTTCAATTTCCATGTAATTATGTGGTTTTGACTGAATTTCTTAATCCTGAGTTCTAATTTGATTGTGCTGTGGTCTCTGAGACTGTTTGTTATGATTTCAGTTCTTTGCATTTGCTGAGGAGTGTTTTCCTTCCAATTATGTGGTTGATTTTAGAATAAGTGTCATGTGGCACTGAGAAGAATGTATATTCTGTTGTTTTGGGGTGGAGAGTTCTGTAGCTATCTATAGGTCCATGTGATCCAGAGCTGAGTTCAAGTCCTGAATATCTTTGTTAATTTTCTGTCTCATTGATCTGTCTAATATTGACAGTGGGGTGTTAAAGTCTCCTACTATGATTTTGTGAGAATATAAGTCTCTTTGTAGGTCTCTAAGAACTTGTTTTATGAATCTGTGTGCTCCAGTATTGGGTGCATATATATTTAAGATAGTTAGCTCTTCTTGTTAAAATGATCCCTTTACCATTACATCATACTCTTCTTTGTCTTTTTTTTATCTTTGTTGGTTTAAAGTCTCTTTTGTCAGAGACTAGGATTGCAAACCTTACTTTTTTCTGCTTTCCATTTGCTTGGTCAAATTTCCTCCATCCCTTTATTTTGATCCTATGTGTGTCTTTGCACATGAGAGAAGTCTCTTGAAAACAGCACACTGATCGGCCTTGACTCTACCCAATTTGCCATGGTGTGTCTTTTATTTGGGGCATTTAGCCCACTTACATTTAAGGGTAATATTTTTATGTGGGAATTTGATCCTGTCATCATGGTGCTAGCTGGTTATTTTGCACACTAGTTGATGCTGTTTCTTCATAGTGTCTTTATATTTTTTGTGTGTTTTTCAGTGGCTGGTAGTGGTTTTTCCTTCCCATATTTAGTGCTTTCTTCAGGAATTCTTGCAAGGTAGGTCTGTTGGTTATGAATTCTCTCAGCATTTACTTGTCTTGAAAGGATTTTATTTCTTCTTCACTTATGACTTAGTTTGGCTGGATATGAAATTTTGGGTTGAAAAGTCTTTTCTTTAAGAATGTTGAACATTGGCCTCCACTCTCTTCTGGCTTATAGGGTTTCTTCTGAAAGATCCACTGTTAGTCCAATGGGCTTCCTTTTGTAGGTGATGTAGTCTTTCTCTCTGGCTGCCTCTAACATTTTTTCCTCCATTTTGACCTTGGAGAATCTGATGATTATAAGTCTTGGGCTTGATCTTCTTATGGAGTATCTTAGTGGGGTTCTCTAAATTTCCTGAATTTTATTGTTATTCTCTCCTGCTAGGTCTGGGAAGTTCTCCTGGATAATATTCTGAAGTGCATTTTCTAACTTGTTTCCATTCTCCCTGTCTCTTTCAGGTATTCCAATCAGTCATAGGTTTGGTCTTTTTACATAGTCCCATATTTCTCAGAGGTTTCGTTCATTCCTTTCCATTCTTTTTTCTCTAATCTTGTCTGCCGGCCTTATTTCAGCGAGATAGTCTTCCATCTCCTATATTCTCTCTTCCACTTGATTGATTCAGATATTGATACTTGTCTACACTTCATGAAGTTTTTATGCTGTGTTTTTTAGCTCCCTGAGGTCATTTATGTTTCTCTCTAAACTGGTTATTCTAGTTAGCAGGTCCTCTAACCTTTTATCAAGGTTCTTAGCTTCTTTGCATTGGGTTATAACACACTCCTTTACTTCAGCTAAGTTTGTTATTACCCACCTCCTGAAACCTACTTCTGTAAATTTATCCATTTTATCCTCTGTCCAGTTCTGTGCCCTTGTTGGAGAGGTGTTACGATCATTTGGAGGATAAGAGGCACTCTGGCCTTTTGGGTTTTCAGTGGTTTTTCATTGATTCTCTCTCATCTTCATGGGTTTGTCCAGTTTTGATTTTTGAGGCTGCTGACCCTTGGAAGAGGTTTTTGTGGGACATTTTGTTGATGTTGTTGATGTTGTTTTCTGTTTGTTTTTCTTTGAATAGTCAGGTCTCTCTTCTGTAGAGCTGCTGCATTTTGCTGGGGATTTTCTTCAGGTCCTATTCAACTGGTTTCCTTCTGCACCTGGAGATGTCACTTGAGGAGGCTGAAGAACAGCAAAGATAGGTGCCTGCTCCTTCCTCTGGGATGTCTTACCTCAAGGGGCACCAACCTGAAGCCAGTAAGAAGGCTTCTGTATAGGATGTCTGACCACCCCTGTTGGAGGGTCTCACCTAGATGGGTGGCATGGGAAGAAGGGCCCATTTAATGAACCACTTTGGCTATACTTAGGCGGAGGGAGTGTGTAGCACTAAGGGGAACACACTTGTCTGGGCTTCCTGGATTCCTCAGAGCTAGCAGGAGGAAAGACTACATCTACTGGTCCACAGAGACTACAGTCACCCCTCCCCATAGGAGCTCAGGCCCAGGAAGATCAGAGTTCTGTCCCTGAGTCCCTGGCTGGAGTTGGAATTCCTGCAAGGAGGCCCTGCAGTTGCACTATTCGCTGCTCCCCCTTCTGCAAGGAGCTCAGCTGGCTTAGACAGCAGGCAGCTGCAGCAGTGGTGACGGCCATCCCTTCTTCTGGGAATTCTGCCAGCTTAGGCCGATTCTAGCTGAGTGAGAATCTGCACAGCTCCATGGTTGAAACCCAAAGCACCGGTGGCGTAGGCTCATGAGTGGCTTCTTTTGATCCATGGGTTGCACAGTTCCGTGGAAAAAGCATAGGTTCCCAGGCTGGGTAGCACACTCACTTACTGCCTCCCTTGGCTGGAGGCTGGGGCTTCCCTGCCCTGTGTGGCTCTCAGGTGGGCTGCCGCACCACACTGCTCTTCTTTCTTCTCTGTGGGTTACACTAGCCACCTAGTCAGTCCTGATGACAGAACCTGGATACCTCGGTTGCTGGTTCAGGATTTGCACAGCGTTTTGGATCTTTACCATTGGATCCTCAGAGCACCACAACTTCTAGTCAGCCATCTTGTCCCTGCCTTGGGATGGAGTTTTCATGAATGATTTAGCACCACCACCCCAGTAGTACTGTAAAATGAGTGAGTTCTCATGAGATCTGGTTGTTTAAAAGTGTGTGGTACCTCCCCCATCTCTTTCTGTCTTCTGCTCCACCCATGTAAGGCATGACTGCTTATTCTTCATCTTCTGCCTTGATTATCAGTTTCTTGAGGCCTCTCCAGAAGAAGCTGCTATGCTTTCTGTGCAGTCTGCAGAACTGTGAGCCTCAGGTATTTCTTTATAGCAATGCAAGAATGGGCTGATACACTTGGGGAGTCCATTTTTTCTGTTGGCCAGGGGCATATTTTAACAACTTAAAAATTCTGATTATCCAAAAAGTAAAAGTAGGAACCATATCCATTGTTACATTTGATAATAACAAAGTAAAAGTAATTGATATGCATTAGGCACTCAAGCCCTAAATTTGATACAAAAATATTTTGGTAACTGGTTTGATTGGAAGACTTGTGGGGGATAAAAAAACATACAAATACGAGTAATAGACAAGTAGAAATCTGCTAATTACAGTGAAAGAAACAAAAATATTTTACCTCAAAATATGTTATTGCCTTGACATTGTTTAAGATAGTTATTCCGATTGGCTGGAAATACAAGAATAGCTAAAAACCTGTATTTTGTGGGGTAGATTTGCATCTGTAGTGAAAATCTGATTGACACAGCCAGGTCTTCCTTTGTGTGAGTTTAGGAATATTAACTGAAAGTCTGACACTTTTAAAGGTCTGAGAAACCATTGATCATCTATTGTCTCTCAGGGCTGCCACCAAGAGAGGTTTCATTGACATAAAAAGACTACCTTTTCCAGCCAGGTCTCATCTTTCTCCCCTTCCCATAATCTGTTTTGTCATGATGTAAACTCTCATCTTTCTGTAACCTCAATATTGTATAAACTTCTGCATCCCCTTTGAGAGGTTGTGGTAATCATTCTGTGATTCCTCCCCACTTTGTCTTTATATGTCTTTCCTTTTATTAATCTGCCTTTTGTCAGTTGATTTTTCAGTGAACCATTAGATGGTTAAGGGAAGGTTTTCCTGTGATCCCTACAATGTATAGAGTACAAGACAGGTCTTATATTGCTCAAAGAGCTTTGAGACGCAAATTCTCTCCTGTCCCAGTATAGATAGATAAACAAAGGTGGATGCTTGTTATTCACAAAAGTTTTAACTGTTTTAATGGTGTAATTATATATTTAGGTCCAATGTAAACACACTACACAACACAACACTACACTACACTATGCTACACTACACTATGATGTAATGCCATACAACATAATACAATAAAGATAAAAGGCAGATGTGTCCTCCAGACTTAAAACAATTAGAGCTATATGCATTAAACATCAGAAGTTCAATCAGTACCTTTCAATGGGTGCTTTATTATAAGACTTTGATACTGGATGCCTGCCAGGATGTCTGGCATTTCACAACTGGGCAAAATTACTTAAGAAGACCAATTACTAAAGGGCTTAAATTGTCATGCTGATGTAATGATATGTGATAGACTAACACTCAGGAGACATTCTTTAGGCCTTGCAAGTAAAACCCTTTATTAAAGGTTATAGGCTTCCAGAATTTAAGATCCTGTTTAGGCTTGGATTGGGTAAGGATTTACGTAAAACTAACAATAAGATTTAAATTGCTAATTATTTAAAATTTAAACAATACAAACATGACAAATTAATATTTGACTAAAACGTTTTATACATTGCTAGGATTATGATTTGTTGGGTTTTTTGGTATGGTAAATTCAAAAGTTATCTCTCTGATGCAAATAATGTGCTGACTTTAAAAAATAGCAATTCTGTTATTCTATCATAATTCTGATAATTGCTTTTCTATTTTACTATGGACTTACTGGATATTTAGACTCCTGCAACTTTCACCCCAAAAGGTAGAAGCAATTAGATAATTATAACATCATTATTCCTTGATATCACAGGAAGGAGATTGTAAGGGCAAATACAAATAAAAAATGAAGGCTTAATCTTTCTTCTTGAAAATAAGGGAAGATACTTTCACCCCTCCCTGTTCTTAGAGCACTTACTGTAAAAATTTGTAGTTTTAAGATTTTTCTTTGTCTGTTTGAAGTATATGTAAATTTTTTCAATAGCTAAATAAACCTCTTGCCAGCTTTAAGACGCTCGACTGTTTTTCTCAAAGGCCTAGGAACCGTCTCTTTGATACAGAAACATCAAGGAAGACAGTGTCCTTATCTCCAAGTTTCTGTGGGAGGGTAAGAGCATAACTTCAGCTGGCACCTCACTCCACATTGCAAAACTACCAACTTGTCATAAAAGATATGAGAAGTTTATTTTCCTCTGGATAAAGCCAAATAACTAACATAGATGGGCACTCCAACAACTAAATGAGTTTAGAAAAAGCTATGTGTGACAAATGGTGCTGTCAAGTTCTCTTATAGAAGAATAGTTATTTTTGTATCTTGAGAATATGTATATTGTGGTGTATTAGCCAGAGTTCTTCACAGAAATATAATCAATATATGGAAAGACATATTATAAGGAATTGGCTCATGTGATATGTGAGGTAACAAGTCCCAAGATGTGTATCGGGCAAGTTGAAGACCCAGGAGAGATGATGTTGTAGTTATAGTCTAAGACTGAAGTCTGGAGAACCAGGAGAATTGATGATCTAGTTTCAGTCTGAATGCTGGCAGGCTCAAGACCCAGGAAGAGCTGATGCTTTAGTTCCAGTCAGAATGCATGAGAAACAAACAAACAAACCAAAATTATGCACCAGCTTAAAGGCAGTGAAGCAGGAGGAGTTTCCTCTTACTGGTGTGAAGGTCACCCTTTTTGCTATATTCTGATTTGTTATATTAAAGCCTTACTGGTTCATTATATTAAAGCCTTACTGGTTTAATGGGACCTACACACCTTAGGGAGGGCAAGCTGATTTACTAAATCTACTAATTCAAATGTTAATCTCATCCAGATTAACACATCCACGGACACAGCTAAAATCATGTTTTACCAAATGTCTGGGAACCTTTTGGCTCAGTCAAGTTCATACATTAAGTTACTTATCACAAGTGGGTTGCATTCTGTTTGGTTATGTAAAGAAGAGATTTTTATTTGTCTCTGCCTTCTCTTAGTAGATTGCCTATGACGTGCATCACATTATAGTTTAATGGTTAATTAATATTAGAATTATATTCTTTCTTTTTTACCTTTATGGAGTTTCTGGGTTAGAAGAAGATTTCAGTTTAATTATATTTTCCCAACAGTATACATGTAAGATTGTTTCTGACCTTAATTTACCCTGTTGGTCTATAATAGTGCCTTGGTTTAATTGCTGCAGTTTTCATTATACTTTATTATATCTGCTAGAGCAAGTGCTCTTGAGTTGTCCTTCAAGAGTTCCCTGGCTTTTTATTTAATTTTGCATATATTTACATATATTTTAATATATATGAAAATTTTAATTTACATATACTTATATGTGGTTTTCAGTTTTCACCATTCACAAAAATAAAAACAAGAATGCCTATAGATAATTTTATTGAGATAACATCTCTTTGAATAAATTTGGAGAAAATTGACCTCTTTTACTTAATGCTTCCACTAATTCACAAACAAGTCATAAACTTTCTATGTTATTATTTTAAATATATTTTGATATTATCTTTTACTTCATAAACAGAGGTTTTTTTTTTTTAACATACTTTGTTATCTTTTATATACTATTGCAGTCATACACCATATAATAATGTTTTGGTCAATAACAAACCAGGTATAGAGTCATGATCTCATAAGTTCATAATGGAACTAAACATTTCTGATTGCCTAGTGCCATTGTAGCCATAGTAACTTCAAGCACAATACATTACTTACATGTTTGTAGTGATGCTGGTATAAACAAACCTTCTGTCTTGCCAGCAGTAAATGGTATAGCATGTACAATTATGTACTGTGCCTAATACTTGATAATTATAATAAATGACTATGTTATTGGTTTATGTATATACTATAATATTCTTTATATCATTATTTTAAATTGTGTGCCTGTTACTAATGAAAAAATTGACTGTGTTAAATCAAGTTTAGCTTAAAGCTGCCTTCTTACATATTTTAAGTTCAGCTTAAAGATTTCTCTGTAGATCTCGAACTATAGCCTAAATGGAATGTAAACAGACTGTGATCTACTCTTGTGCCAATCACTGAGTTTTAGCCAATCCAATGTGGCCAACTGTTCAAATCGTGTTCCAATAAGACAAACACTGAGGTATAGCCAATCCAGCTGTTTCTGTACCTCACTTCCATTTTCTGTGCTTTACTTTCCTTTTCTGTCCATAAATTCTCTTCCACCACATGGCTGCATGGAGTTCCTGAGCCTCATCTGGCTCGGGAGGATGCCTGATTCATGAATCATTCTTTGCTCAATTAAACTCTTCTAAATTTAATTTGGCTAAAGTTTTACTTTTGACAACTGCAAAACAGTACCAGGCAGTTCCTTCAGCAAGTATTCTAGAAGAAGGCATTGTTAGTATAGGAGATGCCAACTCCATGCATGTTATTGCTCATAAAGACCTTCCCATGGGACAAAATGTGGAGGTGAAAATATTGATGATCCTGGCACTGTGTAGGCCCAGACTATTGTGTGTGGTTGTGTCTTGGTTTTTAACAACAATGTTAAAAGAGAAGAAAAATAAAATTTTAAAAATAGAAAAATGCTTATAGAATAAGAATATCAAAAATAGGTTTTTATAGCTATACGATGTGTTTGTGTTGTAAGCTAAATGTTATTCTGAGAGTTGAAAAGTTTGAAAGAATAAAAAAGTTTATGAAATCAAATAGTTATGGTAAGCGGAGGTCAATTTATTATAGAAGAAAGAAAAATGTTTAAGTAAGTTTAGTTTAGCCTAAGTGTGTTTATAAGGTCTATGGTAGTGTACAGTAATGTTCTAGGCCTTCACATTCACTCACTACTCAATCACTCACCCAGAGCAACTTCCAGTCTTGCAAGCTACATTCAGAAGTGCCCTATACAGGTGTATCATTTTTTATCTTTTGTAAACCAAAAATAATATTTAAAGACCACCAAACCATTCTATATGGTCTCTTTCCTTGGTCAGGGCACTCTAAAATTTAACTTGAAAGACTGGTTCAGGCCATGACAGAAAGTAGGGGTCAGACAGGCCTTATTATACCCCATCCAGCATTAACATCAACACAGACCTTAAACCTAATAAGAAACATTTAATTAACAGTCTATTCTCTCTAAAGCCTGCTTCTTGGAGGCCGCTTGTGCATGATAAAACCAAGGTCTCCACAATCCCTTATTTTAACCCAGACACTTCTTTCTACTGATAATAACTCTTTCAATCAATTACTAATCAGAATATGTTTAAATATACCTATGACCTGGAAGCCCCCACTTTCAGCTGCCTCACCCTTCCATATCAAACCAATGTAAATATTATATGTATTGATTGATGTATTATGGCTCTCTAAAATGTAAAAAGCAAGCTGTACCCTGACCACTTTGGGTACATGTTGTCAGGACCTCCTGAGGCTGTATCACACAGGCAGGTCTTCAACCCAGGCAAAATAAACGGTCAAAATTGATTGAGACTTGTTTCAGATGCTTTTCGGTTTACACTTTTATACTCTATTTTTATTGCTTTTCTATGTTTAAGCATGTTTAGATACACAAATACCATTGTGTTACAATTGCTTACAGTATTTAGTATGGTAACACGTTGCACAGGCTTGTAGCCTACGGGTGATAGGCTATACCATATAGCCTAGGTGTGTAGTAGACTATAGCATCTAGGTTTCTTAAAGTACATTCTATCATGTGCATACAGCAAAGAACTCACCTAAGGACACATTTCTCAGAACATATATTCGTGGTTAAGCATTGAACTACTGGACTTACACACCAGTATAAAGCTAACACTTTATGTTACATGGTAAGTGAATAAGACTAAAAAAAGATATTTGATTAATATATGTATTAATACATATACACACAAACATATTCATAACAAAATAAGGAGAAAATTTTATGATAAACTATTTCTGGAGCCAGTTACATAGTTGTAGCTGTGCATAAACATAGGATTTATAACTACATTTGTCTAATGCCTATTCTATATTCATTTTGTTTTCATTAAGCATTTCAGCTGGTCATGATTCTTTACCTGTGTGGTAGGAAAAAAAACCCTTCATTCCTGAAGAATCTGTGCTATTAATAGTCCTTTCTAGATTGTTTTGTTGCAGTTTTTCACTGACTTTAATTACATAGCTTGGTAATACTAAGAGATGCTCTAAGATATATCTGATACTATATCTCAGACATACCCTTCCTTACCTCCACTGTGAAGTAATAATATCTTAGTCCATTTTGTGTTGCTATAATAATACCACAGATTTGATAATAAACAATAGAAATTTATTTGGATCATGGTTCTGGAGACTGAGAAGTCCAAAAGAGCATGGCGCTTGGGTCTGCTCAGCATCTGGTGAGAGCCCTTTTGCTGTGTCATGTCCTGGTGGAAGGATAAGTGCAAGAGAGCACATGTTCAAGAATGACAGAGGAGGGAGAAGGGAGTTGAACTCATCCTTTTATCAGGAAACCACTTCCATGCTGACTAACCCACTCCCATGATAACAATATTAACGTAGTTCATGAGAGTAGAGCCCTCATTACCTAATCACCTTTTAAAGGTCCTACTTTTCAACACCACTGCATTGGGGATTAATTTTCTAACACATAAACTTTGGAATACATATTCAAACCGTAGCCAATAGTCCAATTTCCCCTTAGAGTCAGAATCAGTCACCTCAATCAACACCAAAACTCTCTTCTTTCCTTGTTGATTCAGAGGCATCAGGAGCTCAAAATGACTGATTGTGATTCTTAACATCCAGTTCAATTGAAGCATTGTTGTGTCTCTTGCAGTAATCATTTCTCACTGGGGAACTAAGCTCTTCAGGCCAGCAGAGCATAATGTAGTGGAAACAGAAAGCAAAAAAAAATTGCTGGTGGGTTACTAGAGGTTACAATAAATGATGCTACTCCCATTTTCACCCCTTGATTCTTGGATCCATGAGTTCTGGCTATCAAAAATACAGTACAAAATATTAGACACAAATTCAGAGCAAAAAAAAATTTGAATCTAGTTTCCATTCTGCAAGTTATTGCTACCTAACTCGTGCTGTAACCAAGTCTTCAGAAGGACATTCCACCACTTAATCAAGTCAGATGTTTCAGTATGGTGAACATGGTGAGCCCAGTGAATTCAATGATGAGCATGGACACAATGCTGCACTTCTTTGGCTGTGAAGTGAGTTCATTGCTAGGAGCTATGCTGTGTGGAATAGCATAATGAAGGATAAGGCATTCTCTTAGTCTGTGAATGGTAGGTTTAGCAGAAGCAATATGTACAGGGAAGGCAAGTATGTATCCAGAGAAAGTGTATCTATTCCAGTAACAGCAAACACTACCTGTATTAGGGTTCTCTAGAGGGACAGAACTAATAGCATAGATTTATATACAAAAGGGAGTCTATCGACTCACATTGTCACAAGGTAAATTCCCACAATAAGCCATCTACAAGTTGAGGAGCAAGGAAGCCAGTGTGAGTCCCCAAATCTCAAAAGTGGGGAAGCCGACAGTGGAATCTTCAGATTGTGGCCAAAGATCTGAGAGGCCCTGGCAAACCCCTGGTGTAAGTCCAAGTGTCCAAAGGCTGAGGGAGTTGGAGTCTGATGTTTGCAGGTGGGAAACATCCAGCATGAGAGAAAGAAGAAGGCTGGAATACTCAGCAAGTCAAGTCCTTCATGTTCTTCTGCCTGCTTTTATTCTAGCTGTGATGGCAGCTGATTAGATGGTACCCACCTAGATTGAGGGTGGTTCTGCCTCTCCCACTGATTCAAATGTTAATATCCTTTGGTAACACCCTCACAGACACACCCAGCAAGAATACTTTGCATCCTTCAATCCAATCAAGTTGACATTTAATATTAATCATCACTCTGCCCATTCCATGATGGATGTAGTTCAGTGTAATCAAGCTGCCACCAGGTAACTGACTGGTCACATAGGAAATGATGTCCTCTTGGGGGCTCAGTGTTGGTCTCTGCTTCTGGCTGACTGGGTGCTTAGTGGTGGCCATAGCCACGTTGGCCTTTGTGAGAAGTTCATGCCACTGTGCCAACGAATAACCTCTATTATTGACACTGTGGCCACTTTGTTCATGAGCCTATTGGCTAACAGTGGTCATTGGGGAAAAGAGGCTGACAGGTATTTGCAGAACAAATCATCCTATCCACTTGATTATTAAAATCCCCACCTGCTGAGGTCACACTTTGGTGAACATTCACATGACACACAAACATCTTCATGTTTTTTGCCCATTTACAGGGGTCTATCCACCTACCTCTTCCTTGTTTTTCTTTGTCACCAATTTTCCAGTGGTGTTCCTTTCAACTACTTGCCCATCCAGCTAAAACACTGACTACAGCCTGTGATTTAATATATAATCACATATTCACCATTGTCCTTCAGGGATTTCTCAGAAAGGGGTTGTCCTGCTCTTGCTGTCCACTTTGAGGGCAGCCTGAATATTATGCACAGTTATTTGTAAATCAGGCTGTAGTCTTCTCTTTGTTTGTCAATTGAATGTAAAGAATTCTCCACAAGGCCAGTGATGCAGGCCTTTCTGTTTTGCAAAAGAAAAGACAGCATAGCAGGAGTGGGGACCATGGGCATTTGAGCCACTTTATGCAATTTGTGCGTTCAGGGCCTACTCAGACATGGCTACTTGTATACTATTTCTGTTTTTTTTTGTTGTTGTTGTTGTTGTTTTATGTGCATTCCCAATTATGGCTTAGTAGGTCAGATATCACCCAGTTCATTATGGACATCTCAGGCTGTCTGGTAACTTGATGGCCCATAGTCAAATATTTAGTTTCTAAGGCCCAGTGGCCAGCCAAAAGCTATGTCTCAAAAGGAAAGCCATTTTTAAATTTATAAAGATTAGAAACAAACCAAAATGCCTGTAGAATATTGCGGTGATATAATATACCTTCAGATAAATTTGGGGAAAATTGGTTTCTTTCATATATATCAATCCACAAACATTTCATATTTTCTAGGATTACCATACATTGGGTGGCTTCAACAACAACAAAAATTATTTCTCAGCCGGGGGCAGTGGCTCACACCTGTAATTCCAGCACTTTGGGAGGCTGAGGTGGTCGGATCATGAGGTCAGGAGTTTGAGACCAGCCTGGCCAACATAGTGAAACCCCGTCTCTACTAAAAATACAAAAATTAGCAGGCTATGGTGGCATGTGCCTATAGTCCCAGCTACTCAGGAGGCTGAGGCATGAAAATCACTTGAACCCGGGAGGAGGAGGTTGCAGTGAGTCAAGACTGCACTATTGCACTCCAGCCTGGGTGACAGAGCAAGACTCTGTCTTAAAAAAAAAAAAAAAAGAATTATTCCTCACAGTTCCTGTGACTGGAAATCTGAGATCAGGTTGTCAGTGTAGATGGATTCTTGGTGAAGGCCCTGCTCTGTCTTAATAGATGGCTGTATTCTCTTTGTATCTTCACATGACACACAAAGAGAGCAAGCTCTGCTCTCTTCACTTATAAAAGCTCTAATCTCATTCATAAGGGCTCCAACTTCAAGACCCAATTATCTCCCAAAGTCGCCACCTCAGAATACCCCACACATTGGGGATTCAGTCTTCAACCTGTGAATTTTGGAAGAATACAAACTTTAGGTCAATAGGAATCTCCTTCATAGATAATATTATTATCCTGATTTCTAATGTCATCAATTGTTTCTGCCTTTTTTTCCTCACACCAACCTACAATATAATCTGTTTCGTGTCGGGATTCTTTTGCTCAATATTAAGTTTTTGAAATTGACTGATGGTATTACATGTGGTATTACTTTGTTGATCCTCAAAGTTGCATAATAACTACACAATTTGTTTAATCATTCGAACATTGAAGAATATTTTGTTTTTAGTTTGGGGCTTGTGAAATAACAATAAATATATATATTGGTCTCTGTCCTGAGTAGTTGACACAGAGCTCCTAAAACTTTGTAATTTCCTGAGCTACAGGAGTGCTAGAAGAATCTTCTATTTTAATGTTTGGTCTCTGTCCCAGTTATTGAGCAACCAATACCCTTGTAAATAGAGGTGCTCAGATAATGTTTTGTTCTAATATGTGCTCCTTCACCCTGATTCCTGGTACAAAACTTCTACATCCCTTGGAATTTTCTGGCCTGATTGGAACATCTCTTGTAGTGAAGCAAATCTTGCTGGGCTCCTGAAAAGCTTCAAGCTGGGGACTAGTTGACAGAGGAACATGTGATAAGAGGGTTGGAACTTTTAGCCCCAGCCCCTGAACTCCAGAGAGAAAAAAATGGGCTAAAAGTTGAATTTATAATCAATGGACAATGATATAATCAATCATGTCTATGTAATGAAGCCTCCATAAAAACCCAAAGGGATGGGATCCAAATGGCCTTCCATAGATGAACATGTGGAGGTTCCTTAGGGTACAGGCATCGAAGCTCTGTGTCGTTTCCCATATATCTTGTCCTATGTGTCTCTTCGCCTTGCTGCTTTTATGTTTCCTTTATGTATTTCTTACTAATAAACTGATAAGTATAAGGAAAGTATTTCCCTGAGCTCTAGTGAGCCATGCTAGCAAATTAATCAAATCCACGGAGAGGGTTGTGGAACTCTGATTTATAATCAGTCTAATCAGTCAGTAGAAAGCATGGGTCACCACCTGTGTTTGCAAATGGTATCTGAAATGGGAGGCAGTCTTGTGAAACTGAGCCCTTTACCGGTAGGACCTGATGCTGTCTCCAGGTAGTCTCAGAATTGAATTTGAGGACACCCAGTTGGTGTCCACTGGAAAATCTTCTGGAAAATTGCTTGGTTTGTTGGGGCATAGTGGAGGATACCCATATATCTAGTGTCAAAAGCATTGGGTGACTGTGTGACAGTAGAGAGTGGGAAAGAAACCACTTTTTTTTTTCCAATCTTTAAGAAGGCTATTAGGACTGGTTATGCTACTAATATTATTGTACATGTCTTTTGTAAACATATAGACATGTTTTTGTGGAAATATGTACCTAGGAGTACAACCACTGGGTAATATGATATTTCAGCCCTAGCAGAAACCACCAAATATTTTGTCTAAATGTGTTGTGCCAAATTACATAACAACAGCATCATATAAAAATACCAGATGTTTCACCTACTTTATAACACTATACTATTTCTTAATCACCACATCAATTGCATTATTGATATCAATGTGAAAATTAAAACAAAAATACTTTTGTAAAAATTGGGTATCTCTATTCACATTAATGGTTCAGAAGACAAGCTCTTAGACATCATGGATTGGAGAAAAATATTGTAAATTGACAATTACAACAAAATTACCATGTGAATTAGGGCAATCACAATCAATGCCTGAATTATATTTGCAGAATTTGGCAAGGTAGTTATAAGTCACAGATATATTTTTTCAATTTTTTATTGTTTTTAGAGATGGGGACTTGCTCTGTCACCTAAACTAGAGTGCAGTGGCATAATCACAGCTCATTGCAGCCTCAAACATCTCAGCTCAAAGGGTCCTCTCCTCTCAGCCTCCCAAGTAGCTGGGACTACAGGCAGGAGCCACTATGCCCAGGCTGATATAAATATTTGGATACAGCAAATTTTACATGGAGTTTGAATAATTGATGTCATTATCAATGTTATTTTAGTATTTAGATATTTAAATTATGTAGAGAAATGCCCTCATTATTAATAATGTCTATTTATGTATTTAGCAATGGTGCTACTTCATGTGACAGCTTGCAAATGGATCATAGGCAAAGCATATCTTGTGGTGAACTTGTAATTTTCCTATACATAAAGGCTATTTTAAAAGTTTTATTATATAAAGAAGTGCAATATGGAAAGATATCTTCATAATTCTGAGAGAGTTTTAGTTCTTGGCAAATAGATACTAAAAACTGTTTTCCACTTGAAATATTTATGTATCTGTTTAACAAAAGGTTTTCAAGTAATCAGTGTAATTCAAATTAAACCCAAAGTAAGATATCAACACACAAACACTGGACTTACTGAAAGTCCTATACAACAACAACAATAACAACAACAAAACCATAGATTATTGTGTCTTAGAAAATGGCTGCAGCAAGATTTTCCATAACACGTGCTTTTTCTACAGCCTGCTGTATTTCTGTCATTGAAAATTGGATGAATATGTTTCCTGTCCTTGAATCTGAGTAGGAATCAGACTATTTCAGAAAGTATGTTATGTGATCTTCAAGCTTAGTTCATAAAAGGTAAAATGTTTTGTGTCTTGTCATCATGGGGGACTCCCTTTTAAGACCCAAGCACCATGTCATGAGAAAATCCACTGCACTTCCAGCATCCTTATGTATGTGGTTCTGTCTGATATTTCAAGGTGTGAGTCCATCAGAAATTTACCATCAACTCCCAAGTATTTGGGTGAGTTGGGCTTCAAAATGTCTCTTCAATCACAGCCTGATTGCAGTTGCATGGGATAACTCACATGACAAATGCTTAGCCAAGAGCTATCAACTTCAGGAAATGTCTTACAGAATAATTACTTTTTGTTTTACCTACCATGTTTTGGGAAAATTTGTTGTATGCAAGAGATAATCAGAACAAGTGTTTAGAAAATGTAGAACAACAAAATTCATAAATTACTGATAAAAATGCAAAGTAATCTCATGACTATGGAAAATAGTTCAGCGTCATCAAATAATTTTTAAGATACCAACATCCAGGATTCAGTATCCCATTCCATAAAATACATGCTAAAAAATTGTACACATTTATTATATGTACTTGCATTTTCAAACAAGTATTATTAATTCTGTCAAAAAATGGAAGCATCCTAAGTTCACATCAACAATAGAATACATACACAATTTGTAGAATAGTATAATAAAATTATGTGAAGATAAATGGGTTAATTGCAACAATGGATGAACTTTTCGAACATAATATTAGCTAAAGAAAGAAAGTTCAAGAACCATTCAGCATAATTTTATTCATGTGAATTTGAAAAGTAGCAAAAGTAATTTATGTAATTTAGGGGTGAACATATAAGTGATTTTAGTAACTAAGGCAATTGTTGTTTTATTATTTAATAGCACCAAATAAAAAAACTAGTGCATTATTAAAAAACAGATCAATCATGTGCTTACAAAGAAAATAATTTCCAGTATTTTTAGTCTCAAAATTTATATGTTTTCTTCATTGTCATAGAGTGTAATTAAAACCAGGTATAATTTGGATATATACATTACCATATCCTGAATAGTAATGATATTTAGATATTCTTTAAAATATTTTACCCTCTGTTTTAAATGTTCTATGCCTGTGGCAGAGACTTCTTGATGTTCCCCAAATATCTCCTTTCTCATTTTCCTGATGAATAACAAATTACCTTAAAATTATGCAACTTGAAGCAACAAATAATATTGTGCCAGCTTCTGTGGGTCAGAAAGGCAGGTGTGCCTTATCTGAATCATCTGTCTCTCAGTGTCTCATAAGGCATCAATTAAGGTATTGGGTGGTTGTAGCTGTCTTCACAAGGCTCGACAGAGGGAGAGTCTGCTTTTAAGCTCACTTAGGTGGTTATTGGCATGATTCAGTTCCTTGTGGGTTGTCGGCTGAAGGATGCTCTCAATTACTTGCCACTCAGACGTGTAAGCAGCCCCAGAAGACGGCAGCTTGCTTCATCAGAGAAAGCAAGTAAAAGACCAAGAGAGAGAAGCAGCCAGACAGGGTTACTGCCTTTTATAACCTAATCTCTGAAGTGTTATCCTGTCACTTTTGTCACATTCTATTTATTAGAAGTGAAGTCATTAGTTCCATAAAAGGAGACTGAGATAAGTTTTGTCTCTACTGTCAGGATACCTATGATCCAGTAGTAATTGCAGGCAGGTATTGTAATTTTTGACTCAGTGGCAACAGAAAAGTTCAGTTTTCCTACATTTAGTAAAATATTTAACCAATCTATGAGCAAAAAAGAGGTTAGAACAGAAAACAAATATTATATAGAAACAGTTATATTATGTATTTTTTACCACGTTAAAAATATTTCTATGCAACTTTTTAAAAGCTTTTTAAGAGCTAAACACACACACACTGACACACACACACAAACTAAAAGGATTATGTTTGCTTGTTTTTCAAAGTGGTTGTGGTGGTTTTGTTTTGATCATTGCTGTGGTGGTTGTTTTATTTTTGCTTAAAATGGCTCTTTCTTCTGTCTCTATGTTAAATAATACTATGAAGAAACAACCTTTCCTGTTCTTGTGTTAAAATGTCATGTATGGGAACAAAAATGTATATATGTCCCTATGTAAAATAATACCAAAAGTGAGAAATAAAAATTTAGCTAACTGTAATAGAACATACTTGCTTCTGGAAAACGTCTGTGGGTAAATTAAATGTCTTTCATATAAAAATTACAGGTTGCCCATAAAGGGTCACTAGCCTCACTGTGCTCACCATTATAAAGTTATTATTTAATAAACATCCCAAACCCTAAAATCCTATACATCTTTCCCCAGTCTCAGCATTTTGACATCCACTGAGTACATGCTCAGATTTGTCTCCCATACAAATGTTATCTAGTAAACTTAGCTTTGCTCCATCAACAGGTTTCCTTGGTGGTCTTCTGAAAGGTTGATGGTCTTGTTACTTTCCATATGTTATTGTCCTTAAAACAATCAGATACTGTAATAGTCAATTAACTAAGACATTAGAAGCAGACGTTTCCTATTATGACACACATACCACACATACATACACATTCACAGACACGCACACATACACACACACAAAATAACAGTTGCCTGGGGTTTACATAGCTTTTGCTCTAATTTGCTCAGATAGGAAGGACAATTCGGAGAATTTGTAATCATAGACATTATTATCATTCCATTTATTTCAGAGCATGTGATTGTTTCCCTATCCAATAAAATGATAATTTTACCGGTTGTAACAAATATTAAATATTAGGTTAAGGAGACTAAGATCCAATTTAATATAATGAGACAGGACAAGCTCTTGTGGCATAGGTGTTAAAATTAGACTGGAAAAATGCAGTTTTTTTCTCTGTCATCTAGTTCAATATTGAAAATCTCAAGTACTTTGGATCTTGCTTTTGGGTTTAATGATACCTAAACAGTTTGAGGAGATGCCTACTAATATATAGTTGAGCTAAAAATAGATGGAAAATGATATCTCTTGATTAGTGACTGTGGTAATGTGTCCGGAATTGGTGGGTTCTTGTTCTCGCTGACTTCAAGAATGAAGACACGGACCCTCACGGTGAGTGTTACAGTTCTTAAAGATGGTGTGTCTGGAGTTTGTTTCTTCAGATGTTCAGATGTGTCCGGAGTTTCTTCCTTCTGGTGGGTTTGTGGTCTCGCTGACTTCAGGAGTGAAGCTGCAGACCTTCGCGGTGGGTGTTACAGCTCTTAAAGGTGGCGTGTCTGGAGTTGTTCATTCCTTTCGGTAGGTTCGTGGTCTCGCTGGCCTCAGGAGTGAAGCTGCAGACCCTCATGGTGAGTGTTACAGTTCATAAAGGTGGCACTCTGGAGTTGTTCATCCCTCCCATTGGGTTCATGGTCTCGCTGGCTTCAGGAGTGAAGCTGCAGACCTTGGCAGTGAGTGTTACAGCTCATAAAGATGGTGTGGACCTGAAGAGTGAGCAGCAGTAAGATTTATTGCAAAGAACAAAAGAACTAAGCTTCCACACCATGGAAGGTGGACCCCAGCAGGTTGCCGCTGCTGGTTCGGGTGGCCTGCTTTTACTGTCTTATTTGGCCCCACCCACATCCTGCTGATTGGTCCATTTTAAGAGTGCTGATTGGTGCATTTACAAACCTTTAGCTAGACAGAAAAGTTCTCCAAGTCCCCACCCAACTCAGAAGCCCAGCTGGCTTCACCTCTCAGTAATTCACAATAACATGGATATACATAAACCTATTTTGATACATCTGAGTATCTTTAAACTTTTCCCTTTTTCCTACTTTCCAAGAATAAATGACAAAACAAAACAAAATTTTTAAAAATGTATTTTTGAATAAAATATCTCTTATATTAAATGTTCTCTGAAAGAGTTGACCATTAGACATGTTACCAGTTTCCTATTAGTGTCAAAGTTAGAAAAACGTGAGTGGTAGCCAACTAGACAAAAATGGCAACACAGTCCAAAATAAGTACAGAAGAAGAAACAGACAGTTACTATAATTAATGGAATAAAGAGATATGTAGGAACCGGGGGCTTGAGAACAGTCTCTTCAGGGCCACAGGCAGTAGTTCTGTTTGTACCTGAGTATGCCATTATCAAGAAATGTTCTAAAGTGAGTAATTGGAGATAAAAATGCCCTAGGAATTTATAGGTGTTTTATTCTCTTTCTAAATATCTTAATAACTGATTTCTAATTCATAAGGTAACTAGAGGTCTGTTCCAAAATGTTTCAATGGCACTAATTATTTCAGAAAGTTTCAAGTGAGAAATTTCAAACTAAACTTCTAGGTGGTGCTCATTAAACCTGTTTTTAACCAGATTCTTTAGCATCCTCAATGGATCAATGTACATAGCATGCTGGTTAGAGAACTGCCGTGCACGATAGGTGAGCCTCATGGAGCTTTATCATTCCTATGCCTGTTTACTTTATTTTCAGAGAACAAAAATAAATTAACATATATACAACATAGAAAAATGAGCAAAATAATAGATCCTCTTCAAAACAAACTTCAAAGATCTTGTAATATACTAACAATAATATTTTTTCTACTTGAAAGCCTATTATGCTGAACAGATAGGGGTTTTGAGATTGAAAAGCTTCTGTAAATTCTAGTCAAAGATGATCTGCATTTATCTTACAAAAGTGTAGCATAATTGTTTATTTGAAAAGACATTTGTCAATGAATAATGTTCCCAAACATCAAACTATACTTGAAATTCAGTTGAGATAATTATTTTTAACTTCTAGCTTCTGTATGAAGTTAAATATTTTCATAAGTATTTTTAATTCTGTCTTTATTCTTGAAGGATTAAATGCATATATTTTAAAATATCATGATTTTTAACCACTTTAATTGGCTAACAGGCTAACAACATACTGTAGGTATAGTTTATTATTATTAAAAATGTTTGATTTGGGAAAGTCCCATATTGTATCATGAGGTTCCAGATTTGAGCAGATAATATTGTTATACTTAATATTTTATACAAATTATCATTATAGATACATAAAAATTGTTAAAGAACATTCTATAAGACACAATTACTATTTCAGTGATGATATGTCTCTTTTGTATTAGTGACTTGAATTCTTTACAACTTTAGTGTATATTCTATTCATTTTTGAATAATTTCTAAATACGATACAATTTTTTATAAATATTGTTTATATTTATTTCCAAAACACCAATAATTTCACCTTTTGATAGAGAAATTTTGGTGTTTACATCAATTTTAAAATGTCCTGTCATGCTAGTTCAATTAATTGCCTGTGCCAAATTTTAAAATTCTAAATATAAATCATATTAGGGTTGAAGCCAATATTATAATTAATTTTGGAAAGAATTTTAAAAAACAGATGCTTCGATTTTCTTCTGTTCCTAACATAATGTGTATGAAGGCAAACTGTGAGAAGTAGAATATAAGAATGTGGATGTCCTATCTAGCTTTCTATTGATTGATCAATCAATTAATCTCTATCATCTATTCATCTATCCATCTACAGAGAATTTATTAGGAAATCTTTTGTTTGTAACCTGATTTGAGATTTTCTTATTAAAAAAGTAATGAAAGTGAATTACCATATGAAATATTATTGAATGCATACTGAAACTATGATACTATTAGAGTCTGTGATAGTTAAGATCATATAACAATATGACAAGTAAAAACTACACTGCATCATATTTAATGTAACACATTCATTGTGGATCTTTGAAATAAGACAATTGCAGCAGGGTGTAATAGTCACTATGAGAATACATGATGTCAAAATCCTATGCTTTTCAATCTTTTATTACATCCCATATATATAATTTTAAGGGCATTTTATGTAGTATATGGTACAAAATGTTTTTTAAAACCATTTTGAAAACACTGTCAGGTTTTTTTTTTCCTTTTCTTCAGAGGTAGGGTCCTGCTACGTTGCCCAGGCTGGCCTCAAACTCCTGAGCTCAAGCAATCCTTCTGCCTTTAGCCTCACCAAGTAGCTGGGACTACAGGTACATGCCACTTTAAAATAACTTTCCACTTCTCACACTCAACAGTGATTCAAAGTAAGCCACTGGAGTTTACATATGCCTTATTAAATAAAACACCCTTATGCATAACACAATATATACCTAACATCTATTGAGTTTACTGTGTGTTAGGCACTGTCCTAAAGTGATTTATGAATATTTATTTCTTATGGAAACTCTGTAGAATAGATGCTGTTTTTACCACTCTAGTTTATAGACAGGAAAACAACAGAAAGTTTTGAAATCAGACAAGGGCAAATATTTCATTTTTAACCAAAACATACTCATAGCTTTTTAAGTTTAAAAACTTAGTATTATTTCAAATGTGAGGACGATGGACAAACTGAATTGTAAACACCTCAGTAACAGTTTAAAATCCAGATACATGGCTCCCCAAACAGCTGCACTGAATTAAAATATTTGAAGCATCCAAGGACCATTATTTTAAATTAAGCTCCCATGGATTCTTGATGTATGGTACCTTTTTCACATTTGAGATTTCTTTCTCATAGCTATTTAAATTTACTTTAGTGCCACTGTGAGTTGCATTGCTAAGAAAAGAAAAATCACAGTTTTGTCTTTGTAATAATATATTGCTCTTTATCCTCGTATACCATGATGTATAACTTGGAAAAGCAAAAACAAATGACTATTTCTGGCTATAGAAAATACATATCTAAAACAAAATGACTTCAATGATAAGTAAACACACTCCGCAAAATTAGTTTAATAACATCGTAATTACAATGAGTTAACTATATTTGATATACATCAAATTGAATGCTCAAAATGTCTTCTTCCAATGCATGTGTAGAAAATCACACACATATCATAGCTAAAACACAAGTATTTCTCATAATGTTTAGAGTTTAATGTTCAAAATAAAATTAGAAATATTTAAGATTAGAAAAATTTTAAGTACAGCTGACCATTGAAAAACACAAACTTGAACTACACAGAACCACTTACGTACAGAAATCTTTTTGAGATTTGTAACAACTTGATAAACTCATAGACAAACATGTAGGTTACAAATACAAAAAAATAAAAAAGTTAAGCATGTTATGAATGCATGAAATATATGCAGATACCAATCTATTTTATCATTTACTACTATAAAATAAAATAAAAACATGCACAAACCTATTATAAAAAGTTAAAATGTATCAAAACTTATGCACACAAATACAGACTACACGTTACCATTTGCAGTTGAGAGAAATATAAACAAATGTAAAGATGCAATATTAAATCATAACTGCATAAAATTAACTATAGTACATACCAGACTACTGTAAGAATTTCTGCAGTCACCACCTGTTGCTGTTGCATTGAGCTCAAGTGTTGTGAGTACAATTTAAAACACTGTGTGACACTACTCATCACCACATGAGCTGTTCATCTCTCCAGTAAATTCTGTATAGCAGGAAAAGGTGATCTGTTGTAGTTCTCTCATATTTCTTTTCCTGTTTAGTGCAATACCATAAACCTTACATAACACCATGGCACCTATATGAAGTACCACTAATGATGCTGAAAGTGCTCCCAAGAAGCAGAGAAGTCATGACATTAAAACACAAAGTTGAATTGCTTTATTTGTATCATTAATTGAGATCTGCAGCTCCAGTCTCCTACAATTTGAAGATAAAATAATACAGTGTAAAGACCATTATTATTATTTTTAAAAGAGCTTCTGCACAGCAAAAGAAGCTATCCTCAGAGTGAACAGGCAACCTACAGATTGGGAGAAAATTTTTGCAATCTATCCATCTGACAAAGGGCTAATATCCAGAATCTACAACAAATTTACAAGAAAAAAACAAACAACCCCATCAAAAAGTGGGTGAATGATATGAATGGACACTTTTGAAAAGATGACATTTATGAGGCCAACAAACATATGAAAAAAAGCTCATCATCACTGGTCATTAGAGAAATGCAAATCAAAACCACAATGAGATACCATCTCTTGCCAGTTAGAATGGTGATCATTAAAAAGTCAGGAAACAGGAGGGCGCTGTGGCTCACGCCTGTAATCCCAGCCCTTTGGGAGGCTGAGGCGGGAGGATTATGATGTTAGGAGTTTAAGACCAGCCTGGCCAACATGGGGAAACCCTGTCTATACTAAAAATACAAAATTAGCCAGGCGTGGTGGCACATGCTTATAATCCCAGCTACCCAGGAGGCTGAGGCAGGAGAGAATTGCTTGAACCTGGGAGGCAGAGGTTGCAGTGAGCTGAGACTGGGTCACTGCAATCCTGCACTCCAGCCTGGGTGACAGAGTGAGACTCCACCTCAGAAAAAAAAAAAAAAAGTCAGGAAACAATAGGTACTGGAGAGGATGTGGAGAAATAGGAACACTTTTACACTGTTGGTGGGAGTGTAAATTAGTTCAACCATTTTGGAAGACAGTGTGAAAATTCCTCAAGGATCTAGAACCAGAAATACCATTTGACCCAGCAATCCCATTACTGGGAATATACCCAAAGGATTACAAATTACTATAAAGACACATGCACACGTATATTTATTGCAGCACCATTCAAAAAGACTTGGAACCAACCCAAATATCCATCATTCATAGACCAGATAAAAAAAATGTGGTACATATACACCATGGAATACTATGCAGCCATAAAAAAGGATGAGTTCATGTCCTTTGCAGGGTCATGGATGAAGCTGGAAACCATTGTTCCCAGCAAACTAACACAGGAACAGAAAACCAAACACTGCATGTTCTCACTCATAAGTAGGAATTGAATAATGAGAACACATGGACACAGGGAGGGGAACATCACACACCAAGGCCTTTTGGTGGGTGGAGGGCTAGGGGAGGGATAGCATTAGGCAAAATACCTAATGTAGATGAGGGGTTGATGAGTGCAGCAAACCACCATGGCACGTGTATACCTATATAACAAACCTGCTCGTTTTGCACGTGTATCCTAGAACTTAAGGTATATAAGAAAAAGGACATTCATGAAGTCATCACTGCAGCTATCTATGCCAGCAGACAGGAAAACCTTGCACTTTTTGTGAAATGCCTTTTAATCTTGTACTGAAAATGCAGTTTTTATATGGATACGGAATTGTTATAAGATAGGCATGCCTACAAACTAATATGAATTGAGAAAAAGTAAAGTCATCATATGGCAACTCAAAGCAAAAGAAAGATGACAAATCTAAAGCTGGAGAATGTAATGCCAGCAAAGGACGGGACATTCTGATACTTTTAGAAAGAGGTTTGGCTTAAGAAAAAAAAATAGCAAGATAACAGGAGAGGCAGCTTCTCCTGGCCAAGAGGCAGCAGACAAATTCACAGATGGCATTAAGAAAATCATTAAAAGAAAGAATATTTGCCTGAATAAATTTTTAATGCAGGTAAGAGTATTCTATTTTGGGGAAAAAAAGAAGCCACAAAGGACATTTTTAGTAAGAAAGGGAAATAAGCATGAGGATTTAAGCTAGTAAGAGTAGGTGAATTTCACTGTTTTAAACAAATGAGGTTGGGTTTATGATCAGAGCTTCCCTTATCTATAAAGCTGCTAATTCTGAAGCCTTCAAAGAGAAACATAAATGCTAGCAGCCAGTCTTTAATTTGTACAACACAAAGGCCTGGACAACGAAGACTCATTTATTTATTTATTTATTTTTGTTTGGTTCCATAAACATTTTGTCGCTGAAGTCAGGAAGTATTTTCCCAGTAAGGGACTTTCTTTTAAAATTCTTTTGATAGTAGACAAAGTCCCTGGCCCTCCAGAACCTCAGAAGTTCAACCTGAAAGTTATCAAAGTGGTCTACTTGCCCCCAAACACAATGTCTCTAATTCTACCTCCAGATCAGTGGCCTAATAACCTTTGAATCTCATTACCCACATATTCTATGGAAATGATTGTCAATGCTAGGGAAAAGAAATCAAATACAACAAAGTAAAAGTCTAGAAGGTTTATACCATTTAAGAGGTCATTGTTCTTACAGAAAAAGCTGTGAAACTCATCAAGCTTGAAGCAACAGATCTATGCTGTAGAAAACTGTGTCCAGATGTTGTGCATGACTTCACAAAGTTTATGAAAGCTGATTAAGAAAAACATGAACGAGATTATGAATATGGCACGTTTAAAAGGTGAGGGGTCTTAAGATGTGGATCTTGTAGACATTCTAGAGCTTGTAGACACAACAGAGCAATTAACAGAATATGACCCAATGGAGAGGCATGCTTTCAACCTAGTTCTTGACAATGAAGAGGAAGATGTAAACGAATTGACAAGATGTAAACAAATCTCATCGTTCAATTATTCAGAATTGCTTTTGACTTTTTACAACAATAACTGAGTAATTATTTCAATTATTCAGGATTGCTTTTGACTTTTTTACAACATGGGCCCTTCTATGATGCACGCACTGTAGGCTAAAGCAAATGGTTAAAGAAGGATTGATACTGTATAAAAACATTTTTAAAGAAAAAAGCAAAAAAGACAGGAATTACAATGTATTTCCATAAAATTAAAGTGAGGCACCTACCTCTCCTGCCTCCCCTTCCACATCCTCCACCTTTTCCATCTCTGCCACCGCTGAGATAGCAAGACCATTTCTCCTCTTTCTCCTTTTTCTTAGTCTACTCAGTGTGAAGCCAATGAGGGTGAAGGTCTTTATGATGTTACACTTTCACTTAATGAAGAGTAAATATATTTTTACTTCTTTATGATTTTCTTAATATTTTCCTTTATCTTCTTTTATTGTAAGAATACTGTATTTAAAACATATAACATAAAAGTATGTGTGAATTGACTGTTTTGTTATCAATAAGGTTTCCAGTCAACAGTTGATTATTAGTAGTTAAGTTTTCAAGGAGTCAAAATTTATACACAGTTTCAACTGCATGGGGCAGTCAGTGCTCCCAACACCTGCATTGTTCCGGGGTCTATCATATTTCATGAAGTTATATACGCATATCTTAAAATTCTCTCTTTTTCATTAATCTGAGTAAAAAATGCAGTTCTCAGAATATCTACAATTATTTATGGGATGCAACAGACAGGTGGTACTTAGAAGAGAAAGAACAAAACTCATGACTCATCTCTGGGATGAGACAAGAACACAAATAGAAAAACCTCTGTTTGTGTCTAAATCAAGTGCTCTTTTCTTTTTGTGACTTTGCTTACACATCTAAAGAAGTAGTATTGGAAAAATATACTTCAATAAAAATTATCAATCAAGAAGTAAAAACCAGGCTCTTTTATTGACCAGCTTATTGCATGTATCAACACAGGCAAAGAAACATCCCTCAATCTTAATTATATTATATGCAAAATGTATGGCAATATATACTATATGTGTTAAGATTATTATAAAATGAAAAAATATATGAAAGCATCACAAATCTGTAGCACTATGAAAGTGTTGATTAAATATGAGATTAAAACAATGAGATTTATGTAAACCATATATATGAATCTATATGTATTAACCTGATAATTTTATTAATAGAATTAATTGAAAAATATGTATCCTAAAGTGAAAGAAAATGCATATTTTATTTATTAAAAATGAATACTTTAAGAAGTAAAAAAGAAACATAAATATCTGGAAATTTTTGGACAGATATAATGATTTAATATTTTGGCATATTCTTTTTGGAAAGAAATGGAGGAGGGGGCATAGCAGTTATTAAAATATTATAAAACTATAATTATAAGTTAATATTTACATACAAGTATTTGTCTCATGTATTACAAAAATACTGGGTTAATTTACGGCTTAAAACAACAATCATTGTCATTCATAACATGAAATTGTTGAATTTGTGTCCTCTGGACTCATCCAGACTTAAATACATGTCTGCAGATTAGTTAGGATTTTATTGACCTGATTTAATTTGTGTTTGTTGGCTCTTCCAGGGCTACCTGTCCCTCATACCTCTCATGTCACTCATCCTAGGCACTCCCTTCTCTTGAAAATAATGAAAGCACATGAATGCAAATGGAACATTCAAAGCCGTTTAAGGACTAGATTCAGAATTGACAACATTGTGACTGTCACCTCATTCTGTTAACTAAATTTTGATACAGAGTCAATTCCAAAGACAAGGAAAGCAACACACCTGACATTTAAAAGAATAACTAAGAGCTCATGTAGCAGAAATACATACTAGAATGGTAGCGGGAAAAGTAGTCAATAATGCAATTATCGGCTGGGTGTGATGGCTCATGCCTGTAATCCCAGCACTTTGGGAGGCCAAGGCGGTGGATCACATGAGGTCAGGAGTATGAGACCAGCCTGGCCAACATGATGAAACCCTATCTCTACTAAAAACACAAAAATTAGCTGGGCATGGTGGCGGGCACCTGTATTCCCAGCTACTCAGGAGGCTGAGGCAGGAGACTCGCTTGAATCCAGAGGTGGAGGTTGCAGTGAGCTGAGATTGCACCACTGCACTCCAGCATGAACTACAAGATAAAGCTGCATCTCAAAAAAGAAAAAAACACAATTATCATAATAGTTTTAAAGATAAACAAAGTATTTTTATACTGTATAAAGTCAGAACAACTATCAAGAACTAACCCTTTTAATCTATGATGCATCTTGTAGTATTGTTTATTTTGTCTTTGCTAAGCAGAAAGTTTAATAGCTGCAAAATTAGTCTGAATAATGATTTTACATTTTGATATTGTATTATGTCTTTATGCATTGCACCATTTTTCAATGTGCAATGATTCTTCATACCACATATTGTGCCTTTAATTAAATTGATTTGATTAGCTGTCTTTCATTTCCTCATGCTTCCATTTCTATAGATTTATCTATGGCTACCATCTTATGTTGATAGTCTAAGCTTTATTTTGTTGTTCTTTTAGATATATGCATTTAAAATACCATAAATTTAATGTATAAGTTACTGATATTTTTAATAAAATATTGTCTCATATGCTCATATTTTTATAAACCATATTTTTCAAATCTCTGCTCTCTTTCATTATGCAGGTTTTGTATTGATCTCCATTGTTCCTTCCTTGTCTCTTTTTTTGTCTCTCCTCATAATTTTTTTTTCATTTTTTCCTTCCTTTCTTCTTCTCTCTGTACATTGGTATTTTTATCAATATTTTATAATTTGGAAGAAGTATTTATTGGTTATTTTTTAACTAGTATTTTGCTTTAAGTTTAATAATTTGAAATTATTTTTCTCACTTAAGAAAAAACAAGATATACACTGTCCTTCTGTATCATGAAAAATAGGTTTTCATTATTCTATTTCACACAACTATTTTCCCAGATACTTCCCAATTTTAATCGTTAAAGTCAGATTTTATATTTTATTATGACAATAAATTTTGATATGATTATAATTGTTAAGGTCAACACCAACAAAAATAGTTAAATAGTTAAACATTACAACTACTAATAATGCAAGCTAATAAATATTGAGCACTTACTATATGCTACACAATTTGCCAGTTTGCTTTTACTTGAAATAATTATGTACCTAAACTAATTATGTAAGCTAAGAGTCTGATATCTCACTCTATTTCGTAAGGTAGTAATGTTCAACTAAATCTAATTTAGAATTATTTAATATTTTCATAAGGTTGTAATATATTTATATAATTTAATTGGCTTGATTTATTACTTAACTGCTTCCGAGACTAATAGCCAACAATTTTGTTTAATATATTTTATTCTTTCGAATATCAGCTTTATATCTTCTATCTAGTAAGATGAATGCCTATGCTTGTTACAGTGGATAAGTATTCAGGCATGAGCAAGGCAGGAGACAGCTTCCACCGCCCCCCAACACACATATACCAGGAGTGTCAGCTGACCTTCAGGTGATGGTCAGACAATGGTCACGGAATGATCAGGTGATGTCTTCCTAAACTAATTGGTTACAGCCACCTCCAGGGAAAGGCAGGCGCCCAATAGATAGAAAACACCTGAAACTGATGATGGTGATCAGCAACTTCCCAATAAGATCTTAGGAGTTGGGATAGTGACCCAATGGAAGAGTTTAACTGGTATATGACCTTCCTCTAGGAATGCTGGACTGGTCAGAGAAGAACGCTTCAAGTAAGCATGCGTTCAACTCCAGTAAACACACTGCGCATGCTCCTCTCCCAAGTGCTACCAGGCCACTGGGCGTGAGGACAGCCCAGCCCAAGGGAAGAATTAGAGGAGAAGTAACACAAGACCCCAGAAGTATGCCAAAGTAGAAAACCACAAATCTAAGGGTCAAATTGTGCGCTTGATCTTTCAAGTCGCCCAGCATTGCCTTGTGCTGGTCTGTGCGTTTCCCCAGGCTTCTCTAGGCCTGGTTTAACTTCATGAACTTTTCCTGTAGATTCTTTGCTGACTTGCGATGGAACTGGATCACGCTACTTTCTTTCATTTTTGCTCTAAAGCTTTTTAATAAACTGTCGCTCCTGCTCTAAAACTTGCCTCGATCTCTCCTTCTGCCTCATGCCCCTCAGTTGAATTTTTTCTTCTGAGGAGGCAAGAATTGTGGTTTCTGCAGACCCATACAGATACAGATTCACTGCCAGTAACATACATCATACATTATATCATATCTTCTTATATGCAAAAGCTCAGAAAATATTAATTGCAATAAATGAGTAAACAGCAACAAAACACATCTATTAAAGTAAAATGCAAAAGGAAAATTCCTTAAGAGAAACTGAGATTTTAATAGGTGGGTTAAAAAGATGTGGAAAGGATTAAGATAAAATGTATATACACTTAGTATTATGGTATAAGAACACTGGAATATTTTAAAAATTATTATCTTTAGAAAATGATTTGTCTTCAAATATATCTTAGTAGATGATGGGGATAACCTGAGGGAGCAAACTTGGGGTGGTTTCATCTGGAACAGTTGTGTCTCAACTATTAATGCCTATTAGCAACACCAAAATAACACTAAAATGTAGCTTTTTTTCACTTACACCTAATTTAAGTAAATTAAATTATCTTTTCAGAATGGAGCACTACCTCAGAGAATAACCATAGTGAATAAATTATTGAGTTTCTTTTTTAATTTGAAAATACAATCAATAATAATAAAACATTCAGGGACAACACTTTAATGACTAACAGCCACACTAGGTTGTGACTACTATTTGTTTAGATTTCTTGAGAAAGTAACACAGACACATCAGCATAAGATTCTTAAAACATTGGTTTGTTAATTTCAATAACACAGTTATTATAGTTGATTAAACAGATATTGGAAATATCTGTAAAATTTTGGCACAAGGAATCTAAGGGAAGACATGGTGAGGAGACTCTTCACAGTAAAGATAGAAAAGCAAGACAAAAGCATATTATACTGAGGCTTATATAAGTTATTACACAAATGGGAAGAGGACTCATATGCAGAATTATCTTATACAAGAACGTGAATGCATTGTTGTTGTTTACTAATAAATACTTTTAGCATATCAAAAATTATTATTGAGTTTATATTGAATGCTCATGCCTTGTCTGAAAAAAAATATATTAATAAATCTAGAATCTTGTCTGAAAATGTATTAGAGAAGACCCACTGTGTGTAAATAATATATTTTCTATAGGTGATGGATCATAAGGGTAGAGAATTTTAAAAGTGTGATTATGATTACACAGAAGGAAAATGGCTGATATATCTTCTTCAGTTTAGAAGGATATCAGATTTTGTTTTATGTCGCTATTTAACTAGCATGAATTGTTTAAGTCTTACTTTAAATGACTGAGCAAAAGTTGATGTTTTCGAGGCTAACATGAAAAGTGGTATATTTGTCCCAGTGGGTCAGGTTTGAAAGGCAGTAATCAGTATAGAAGGCAAATTGTAACTGCCTAGAATTTGGCTAGAGATGGAAAAACCAAAAAGAAACATAGATCAGGATTCTAGAAAAGCATCCTATAAATTTAACTTTAAATATTTACTACTAAAATACAAGCTCATTTTCCTTTTAACTAGGTAGATCCCTTATATCTTCAACATATGGGGCCTTCAGCTCAGCCTTCAAAATAAGAAATCCACCTAAATATACATAAGTGTGTTAAGAACACTAAAACGATGAAGGAACTCTCAAAGAATATCTAGAAGCTGAAATTGCAGTTACTGAAATTTCTGCAATTTTCAAGATGGCAGGCTTATTTCACATGACAGGTGCTAAAATTCAAAGGCATTTTCACCCTTCAAAATATGGGAATTATATTACCACAATTATCTCCTTGATGATACATTGCTGTTTCTTGAGTTTATGTTACAAGACATAAACCTCAAAAAAATCCAAATGTTTTCTTATATGTATAAAATTATATGTATAAAATTTTTTGAAATTTACTGCACCTTCCCCACTAACCTCTAATTCCAGATGCTGCTGTCTCTGTTATAATCTTTGACTTTTAGCTACAATATGGGTCTGTATTGGTCCATCTGTTTGCTTCTGAGAACAATGTCTTACTTGGAATCACTACTATAGAGGCTGAGAACTCTCTTGGTTACTATGTTATATAGGTATGAAGCTAGTTCTGTGATTTTTCTGGCCTTTCATAAACTGAAAATCTGTATTATTTATTTTTATTTTTGATTTTTATAGTAGAACACATTTAGGGCTGTGTCCCTGATAAAATAAAGGGTACTCATTAAATCTGATTACCAGATTAACAAAAAATAATTTTTAGTATAAATACATCTCAGAAAATGGCAATTTTTATATTAAAATAATTTTGTTGTGTATCTGAAATTCAAGTTCAATTTGATATCTTGTGTTTCTATTTGATGAATCTGGCAACTCTAAACACACTTGAAAAACTGGTTGGTGTCAGTTCAAGTGAAGTGATTACAATGGAGTGACTCTGTTGATAACTAAGTTGAAGTTGAGCAATTAATATGTTTGTGTTTTTAAGTCTACCATTGAAAAGTCAATTGACATGTGTTTTATTTTCGCTCTGGGAATGTAATACTTGAAAATATACCTGTTTTGTTTTGTTTGTTTATTTTCCAACATTGGTTCTTTGTGTCTTAGAATGCATAATTTTGTTCATTTTTATTCTGGCATGTGGTGCTCATTACACAACCAGGTTGAGCTCCGTTGTAAAGATGCTCAGTGAAGAACTTCATCTATTAGCATGGTAGAAATCTCCACCACGTTGTCCAGTCAAACTATGCAAATAATAACATTGGTAAAATACCTATCAGCTTCTACATCCTGTGTGTCTTCTCAATTTTTTAATAATTTTAGCAATACCATCCCTTCTACATAAATGAAGTAAAAATATAGAATAGAAATAGGATGGAGTGTAATGCAAGGTCTCAAAAAATGTAGGATATACTAGATTTTTTAAAATGATATAAACATAATGAGAGCTAAATGTGAAGAAAAAAAGCAGTCCCTCTGATATCTTCTATTTTTTGCTGTATGGCAGGAAGTGACATATTTACTGAGAGAAAATAAGTTTTGTGGAGCATGGAGAAGGTTTAGAAAATAAATTCTGGAGAAATGAAGAGGTGCTAATTTGGAAAGAATAATTGATTTTCAGTTAATGAGTAGGACCCAAATGAGTTGACAACTATGAATTTTTTGTAATTTTGTTCTATAAATTTGTGAAGTTTTATTTAGTAATTAGTATAGGCAAAGAAAATACACATTGAACTAATTTGAGATTTGAACATAAACTTAATCAAGCATGAGGGTTAATATCATTGCCATGGAAAATCACCAACTTAGTGAGCATGGAATGTAAACAAGTTTGACACATGTAAAGCCTTCAGAAAGTTAAGGATCCATATCAATGAGGTGCAGGTCATGCTACCCCCAAATACGGCACATTGGAAGACATTTTCTGACCTCCTCTGACCTTTCTGTGTGTGAGCTGTACATAAAATAACCCTGTGACCTACATTTCTTAAAAGTACCCAATAAGACTATCATATGCCAGGTGTCCTGCCCTGTACCCAACGAGAAAAAATGCCATATACTGACAGAAAAGAATCCGAAAAACAGGCCTTCCCTAGTTCCCTTCCCACTCCCCAGTTTATTAGCATTAAATTGTATTCGTTTTGTCCAAACATTTTTTTTTCACAACTGTACACTTCCTTCACTGGATTTAGCAACTTACACAGTTTTCTCTGGGTCTCTGGGTCTTCATTTCCAAAAGATCAAATGTCACATAAAACTGTGGTGAAATAAATTTGTTATGCTTTTGTCTTATTAATCTTCTTTTGGTTTTATATTACCACATGTGAACCCAATGGTTCTCTCCAAGTATGGGTTGCATAACTGCCTTTAATTACTACTCTTTGTCCTGTAACCTAAGAGAATTTAGAATTCTGCCAGGGTCAACTGGTAATATACATTTTTGAGGATAAGTTTGTCACTTTTCAGAGATTTATTAAGTAAGTCTAGTCTCATTTTTTGCAGGTGTATGACTTCATATCCTAGTTTTCAACAATGTCTGACTCTGGGATATTGAGATACAATTGTGGTTTACAGAGAAAATATATATATTTTTGCTCATGTCAATAGTTTACCAAATTTCTTCTTAGAACTGTTGGTAAACTTACCAAATTCCTTAGAAACAGCATTATGAAAGCTTATATTCTAACATTATCTATATGTTCAAAATTACCTCACAACCAGTGAGAATATAATTCTTTTTAGCTCTAGAGCAACATTCATTAAATGTCTCAATCATACTCTCTGATAAAGTGAGCAACAATACCTAGAATTGTTCCCAATACTAAGTAATGACAATGCATATTTGTGGAGTAAGTAATCATATCCTAGCATAAAGTACTTATAATATTCAATTAGCAACTGATCATGTATACCTCATGATGTTTTTATATCATTGTTCAGTGTTTTGCTTTTAAATATACCTTTGCAAGTAGGTTTATTTTATGTATAGCATACATATAACCATAATAGGTGAATAATCTTTAATAGAGCAACATGTAAAACATAGTTACATGAACAACATAGTTATTATTTATATTTATAAAATTTGGTACAAAATAAACCAATAATCTCTGGGTGATATAATGTATGTTTGTTTATTGCGACTAAATCATGTTATTTGTAAAATCCATTTGGAGCCCATTATCAAAGGACTTTGTAGATAATTTAAAATCCCAGCCCAAGTAAATTCTCTGTTTTGAAAGAACAAGAAAAAATATAATTGATCTCCTCATGAGATGCAGCTTTCTCATCTATTATAAGACACATGATGCCCTTATCTGCTTTAGATGTGTTAAGTAGTTTCCTCAGGCTTTGTGCTTTATGTTTTTCTCTGATGTACAAAACTCACCTTTTTGATTTATGACAACTAAGAATATAGATACTGTGTTTCTTTTGTTTTTCTGCATCTTTTAAAATTCTAAGTTGTATAGTTTTGATGTTCCTCCTTTTACTCGTTGCATAACAACTCATTATCAGACAAGTTTCAAATTAGTTAAAAAAGACTATATTCTAGCAAACAGTTACTGCAAATCATAAAATATGTGTTCATGTTCAAAGTTCACAATAAAAATTTATGAGTAAGCGACTGTTAAACTTAGCCATGAAAGATAATTAATCAGAAATATAGTATTCCCTTCTTCTCTATTCCTCGGGGAGGGAACTTGGAGGAGGGAATGAAATTTGATCTGAAGAGCTTAATGACTAAGACTATCTCCTGGAGTAGTGTGTGTGTATGTATGTGTGTGAATGTGTTTCTTGAGGGTGTGTTTAATTAAGTTCTTGGTTTTTAAAAAAGCATTTATATATCAGTTCCTCTAAATGGTATGTCACTTTTCTCAAAACGATAGAAAGTCTACCAGGGTATTTAAGACACTCTTATCATCTCAAAAATGTCTGCTGCATATTAATAACCCATCACTTCTAAGTTTTTCATTTTCTTCTACTTCCTCTTGCTTATCTTACTCTTTTCCTGAGAGTATATCCACTAGTCACACACACACAAATTTCATTTCTATGAAGGTATAGTTTAGAGCAGCTGAATCAATTGCTGTGGGTCAAATGTGGGGTTTTTTTTTGGGGGGGTGAGTTTTTCTGTCAAAGTTTCTTTTGGGCAAAAACTAAATTTCTTGTAAACTATACTTACATGGACAATATAGAAAATTTAGGCAGAAAATAAATGTATTGTTTATTTACCAGGAATCAGGAATTTGCAACATACACATGCCTAACATTTATCTAAATGTATTGCTTTCAGCCTTTTCTCTGAATTGAGAAACAAGTTGCCAATCAAGTATACCATATACAGTATGATGACTTTGCTACCTTTTTAGGACAATAGCATTATTTTATAATATTTTCCATAAATGTCATAAAAAGAATAATTTTTCTATATATAGTACGAGAAATATTTTCTGATTTTATGCCATAGGAAATTTCTTTCTAAACCCCTCAGTGTCAATGTATTATAACACAGTCAATAATTCAAAATTCTATGTGATTTATGTTAGTTTATCTCCAAACTCATGTTAACATAAAAAAAAAAAAAAACTCTGTAGTCTGCTGCTTTGACTAGGCCGGAAACTGAAGTGTTTTATTGTTGAGAGTAATCAAAATTCTTCTAAGTATATATAAAGACAGAAACTATTCCCAAATAACATTTCATGTTATTTTATCAAAGTAGTTTTACAAAACACTTTGAGAAACTATATGGAATTACACATTTCACTTTGATATCTACAAATACAAAATGAAGAATCTCATGCTTTAAAAAAGGAAGCTTTTAAAAAGAAGACAAAGGAAATAGTGCAGAATATGTATATCAGATATATTTGTAAGTGATTCATATGTACATATACACAAACTTATACTTATATATACTTATATATATATATTTACATAAATATTTATGCTTGTACAAATATGTAAATATCTATCTAAAGCCAAAAGTTGTAAGATATTTAGAATAATATATATGGATAATTAAAAATGTTCAAACCTAATAGTTTCTTTATGGAATTGACTGTAGAGACATGAACTTAGACCAGGTAGCAAAAACTCTGAACATCTAATAACTTTTTATTAATTTTTAAATGTGGTTTCTCTTTAAAAACTACAAGTTTATGAAGCATTTATCCAACAATTTATTTCTACATATATTCATTGTGTAATATAAATATATTTATTAAAAGAAGCCTAAATAAAACACAACACAAAAATCCACAATATTCTATCTGTTTTTCCTTTGAAAGTATTTATTAGAAGTACCAGGGGGTTCTCATTGTGGTATTTAAGGGATTGGCTATTCTATTCAACAGATAATCTGTGGAGGTTCTCATTAATTTTTTAGAATTGTTTTATTTTTATAACAAAGTCTCTTTAAATTATATTCCAATGAAGCTATATTTTGTAAAAAAGGATCTTCATAGAAATATTGGTATTCATAATCCATTATAAGGACCAAGGTATATATAACCCATTTCAAAAGAATAATTTATTTAGAGTAAGAAGGCAGGATGGAAGGCTCCACCAATTGTTCCCCCCACAAGGACACCAAGTTAACAGCTATTTACACATTAAAAAAAAAAACAGCTTTATAAGAACCAAAAATTAAGTGAGCACTCATAGTACCTGGTTTTAACTTCATATCACTGAAAAAGACACTAAAGAGATAGAAAAAAATGACCTGAATCTCCAATGCCAACCATCCCCCACACCTGGCAGTGGCAGCCTGGTACAAAGAGCACCTCTCGGTACGGAGGAGTGAGATCACAGCAATTGTGAGACATTTAACTCAGTGCTATCTTGTTAGAGCAGAAGGGAAAACCAGACCAAACTCAGCTGGCTCCTGCCCATGCAGGGAGAATTTAATCCAGCCCTAGCCAGAGGGGAGGTGCTGATCCCAGTGGTTTGAAATTTACTGCCTGCAAACCTCACCACCAAGGGTTACAGTGCTCTTTGTCTCTAACTAAATGTGAAAGGCAGTCTAGGCCATAAGGACTGCAACTCTTAGGCAAATCCTAGTGCTTAAGTAGACCCAGAGACAGTGCACTGGGGAATGGGAGACACATGATATACTGAGACACCAGTGAGGGCAGCTAAGGGAGTGCTGGCATCATCTCACCCTTAACCCCAGGTTGCACAGCTAGAGGCTCCAAAAGAATCCCTTCATTCCACTTCAGGAGAGGAAAGAGAAGAGTAGGAAGAACTTTGTCTTGAATTCAGAATACTAGCTCAGCAACAGCAGGATAGGGCATCAGTCAGGGTCATGAGGCCCCATTTCCAGGCACTAGCTCACAAATGGCATTTCTAGACATCTTGGGCCAAAAGGGAACCTGCCGCCTTGAAGAAAAGGACCCAGTCTGGCAGCATTTATCACCTGCTTACTGAAGAGCCCTTGACTTTGAGTAACCACCAGAGACACCCAAGTACTACATCAAGGCCTTGGGTGAGCCTCTGAGACTCGCTGGTTTTAGGTATCAGCATGATCACAGGGAATAAATAGAGCACCAAGCAGTCTCTTGTGGCACATATACACAGTGGTACTATTCAGCAATAATAAAGAGTGAGAGTCAGTCATTTGCAATAACACGGATGGAACTGGAGATCATTATGTTAAGTGAAATAAACCAGGTGCAGAAAGACAAACATTGCATGTTTCTATTTATTTGTGGGATCTAAAAATTAAAACAATTGAACTCCTGGACATACAGAGTAGAAAGATCGTAAGCAGCAGCTGGAAAGGGTAGTGGGGGACTGGGTGGGAAGTGAGGATGCTTAAGGAGTACAAAAAAGAATAGTTAGAAAGAATGAATAAGAGCTACTATTTCACAGCACAATAGGGTGTCTACAGTCAATAATAACGTAATTGTACATTTAAAAATAACATAAAGAATGTAATTGTATTGTAATTCAAAGGATAAGTGCTTGAGCAGATGAATACTTCATTCTTCCTGATATGTTTATTTCACATTGCATGCCTGTATCAAAATATCTCATGAGGTACATAAATATATATACCTACTGTGTACCCATAAAATTCAAAATAAAAATAAAAGTGAATAAAAGAAATATAATAATAAATAAATAAAAATAAAAATAACAGAAGAATTTATTCTAGAATACAAATAATAAATATGAGAAGGTAGGAGGAAATGAAATCAGGAAAAAAGTTATGACCTAACTAATTTGATTTTACAAGTTTCTACTCTTTAAAGAAAAGAAAGACTTTTGAAGAACATGTGAAATATTGAAACCTGGTATATTTACATTGAATATTAATAAATTGTAAAATATAAAATCTACAAGAGTCACCAAGAAACCTCTATGGTTAATCTCGTTTTTAATGTCAAGTTGTAATAACTTTTATATATATATATATATATATATATATATATATATATATATAAAACTTCTTTATTTTAATTCATAGATTTAATGCTCATAAAAATTATTTTAATTCGAGATTATATAAACCATTCTTGATAATTTAAGATACTATATAGACAGAATAATTAAGATGATTATGACTTTTAAATATTAATTTTAAATGCCTGATTAATAGTTTTGATTTCAGTTTCATTAAACATTTGATAATGATAAACCTAGGAAATATATGTTTGTAACAATTATATGTATAGTAATATATGTAAATGGAAATACATATATTTGGAAAACAAGTAAGAAAATGTATAGAAAACAATTATGTATATATATTTTTTAACTTTAAATAAAATACTGATATAAGTGAGATTATACTTTGAACAAAGCTAAAGCAAAATACTGAAAAATAAGCTATTGGAAAAAATAAAGAAAAGGATCATGAAAATTTAGTAATATACTTACCAATATGCCTCACACAATGCTGGTCACTATTATATTATTAATAAATATTACTCAAAGTAATGAAGTTTAAAATCATGATAGTTGTTACTGAAGGATACAGATCAACAATTAACATCACAAATGTTGGCAAAACATATGCAACAAAAAACTAATTAACTTTAGGTAGAATAAACAAACAATGTTAATTTATCTATATATTGGCCAGCAATCTAACATAATATTGGAAAGTTGTTACATTCTTAATAAATGAGCATTATAGAAATGAAATCTAAAAAAGATAATTATTATTGAACAATTGGGATCTATACTTAATGCTAGTTCTAAATATAATACAAAGACTTCTGTTTTCTGGTTTATCATGCAATAATCTTAGATGTTGCTACTCCATTCTAACAATAAGTTAAAAGCTGAACAAACTGAAAAATTAATAGCTCTTCTTAGATTCCTCATTGAAGTGAGATCACAAGGCAAACTGCTGTCCCATACATTAGAGAGCCAGACAGACAGAACAGAGAATTACAGCTCACCAGAGATAAAGTCTTGAGAAGAAACCTCCTCCACTAGAATCTAGGCTGGAGTGGAAAAACCTGAATTGTAATTGATTAATTTCTGGAGGCTCAGTGTTTCCTTCCACACTGCCCTAGCATAGGTTCTCCATGAAGGTTCTTCTCCTATAGCAAAATTCTGCCTGGACATTCAGTCATTTCCGTACATCTTCTGAAATCTAGGTGGAGCTTCCCAAACCTGAGTTCTTGACCTCTGAGCATCCACAGGCTCATCACCATGTTGAAGCTGCCAAAGCTTGGTGTTGCACCTTCTGAAGACACAGCCTGAGCTGTGCCTTGGCTCATTTTAGCCATGGCTGGAGCAACTGGGACATAGGACACCACATCCCTAGGCTGCACACAGCAGACGGGGCGTGAGTCTGGCCCAGAGAATCATTTTTCCCTCCTAGGCCTCAGGGTCTGTGATGGGAGAGTCTGCTGCACAGGTCTCTGGCATGCCCTGGAGACATTTTCCCCATTGTGTTGATGATTAACATTTGACTTCTCATTACTTTGTAAATTTCTTCAGCTGGCTTGAATTTCTCTCCAGAAAAATTTTTTTTCTTTTCCACTGTATTGCCAGGCTGCAAATTTTCCAGTTTCATGCTCTGCTTCCTCTTGAATGCTTTGTCACTTAAAAATGTCTTCTGCAAGATACCCTAAGTCATCTCTCTCAAGTTCAAAGTTTCACAGATCTTTAGGGCAGGTGCAAAATGTCACCAGTCTCTTTGCTAAAGCATAGCAAGAATCACCTTCATGTAAGTTCCCAACAAGTTCTTCATCTCCATCTGAGACCACCTCAACTTAGACTTCATTGTCCATATCACTATTAGCATTTTGCTTAAAGTCATTCAACAAGTCTCTAGGAAGTTCCAGACTTCCATGCATTTTTCTATCTTCTTCTGAGCCCTCCAAACTGTTCCAATCTCTGCCTGTTACCCAGTTCCAAAGTCACTTCCACATTTTTGGATATCCTTATAGCAGCACCCTACTCTCTGCTGTATCAATTTACTGTATTAGTTCATGCTCATGCTGCTATAAAGAACTGACTGAGACTAGATCATTTATAAAGAAAATAATTTTAATTGACTCACAGTTCCACAGGGCTAGGAAGGCCTCAAGAAACTTACAATCATGGCAGAAGAGGAAGCAAACATGTTCTATTTTGGGAATCAAGGGACAGGAGAGACCAATGGGTAGGACAGGAGGATTTTATTAGGTGCACACCAGCCCAGCAGATTAACATCCAAAGGCTGCGCTCCAAATAAAGACAGGGCTTGACTTTTATACATGCATTTAAAAGGGAGCTGGCCAGTTTAATGGCGTGAAACCTGTAGGATGGGCAAGCAAGCTTACAGAAGCAGAACAAAGGCAGTTTGTTAAACAGGAACAGGTTTTGTAACTCAAGCATATCTTGTGACCTTGCTGCGCCACACAGAAAGGAAAAACAGGAACTTAAAAAACTTGCAAAAATAATTATGAGAACAAAACAAGGGACAATGGTAAGGCAGAAGAAACTTGTTTTACTTTTTTATACGTTCTGCTTCAGTTCTTCACATGGTGGCAGAAAGAAGAATGAGAGTTGAGTCAGGGGAGAATCCTCTTATAAAACTTTCAGATCTTGTGAGAACTTACTCACTATCATGAGAATACCGTGGGTGAACTGCCCCCATGATTCAGTTACATCCCACCAGTTCCCTCCCATGTCACATGGGGATTATCGGAACTAAAATTCAAGACAAGATTTGGGTGGGGGCACAGCCAAACCATATCAAGGGACAAGAGGGCAAAACAGGATTTTTAGGTTGATGAAACTATTCTGTGTAATACTACAATAGTAGATAAATGTCACTATATGTTTCTCAAAACCTATAGAATTTACAACACCAAAACAACACATTTGTTTTGACACAAATGTACAACACCAAGAATGATTTCTAATGTTAACTATGGAATTTGGGTGTTAATAATGTATTAATGTGGGCTCATCAATTGTAACAGATTTAACACTGTGGTATGGAATGTGAAGAGTGGGGATGTGAGGGAGGTTGCAAGTGAATAGGAACAGGGACTATATGGAAACTCTCTGTACTTTCCACTCAACTTTGCTGTGAATCTAAAAGTTTTCTTAAAAAGTTAAATTAATAAAAATAAATAAATATAATGCATCCCATGCTAGCTCTAAATACAATAGAAAAACTAGTTAGTTTTAAGTAACATGGCTACATAATTATTTTCTAAACTGGTAAACTATAAAGCAAAATAGGTGGTTACTAATTATTGTACTAAAACAATAGCAGTTAATTGAAACTATATCAAGTAAGCTGGGACACATGTCATCTTCACTTCAAGTTGACATACTTTCCTACTAAATTGCTTAGATTATAATCAACCTTTATTTTAGATATATACAGTTAGTATCTACGCTTATGTTATGGACAGTAATCAACAAAACATCATTGTCTACAATGATGATGGAAGGAAAGTTAAAATTTAACATAGCACAGTGGCCATCAAATAGCAATTCTCAGTCAAGTCTACACCTGTTACTATTACTATCATTTGGAGAACATTTTAAAAATTCAAAATACCTATGCCTTATCCCTAGCTAAATAATACAGACAAGGTATCTTTATTAAAGAAGAAACTAGCAAACAAAATCTTCCCAATTTTCTTTTTTTTAAAATGTGCATCTAGGTGAGAAAGTGCATAACAATGTCTAATATTTTCCAAAGTGCATTCTGCACTCTGAGAAACAAATTTATCTATTTTCATTCAAAAACCTTTACATATACTATGAAACTTCCCTAATTTCTAACAATCTTTAAGGTCTCAGCTTAAATTTTACTAAATCAAATACTATCCTACATAAAAAAAATACATTAGAAAATGCTGTGTTGTATCAAAACAACTAACAGCTCACTATTTAAAGAAAATCTATGGTGAAATAATCCCTAAATAAAAAATTTAATGTTAATGTCCGTATTAAGTACTATGGTTAGTATTAGTTCAGTTAATATTGGAAATAAAAGGAAAAATCAACAAGAATTATCATTATTCAGGGAGAAATAAAAAGAGTAAATGATATAGGCTTCTGGGAAAAGGAAAATTCATAGGAGGGCTGCCAGGTGGTAAGTACAGGTGTTTGGAAGTCTACATAAAAAACTGGTACATTCTGCTGAAAGGCTCCTTTCCTTTGACTCTCTTCTTGGCTGGCACCTGTGATCTTATAGAAGAAAACTGTAACTAAGCCAGAAAGACTGGATTCAAGTCTAAACCCTGCCAATTTCTAGATGTGTGATCTATGAAAAGCGACAAACTTTCCAAGACTTGGTTCTCATATTTTCGAAACAGAGTTAGTAGTACTTCACATATTTTTGTGAATAAAAAGGAATAAATTATATAAAATTCAATTATTATTATTATTACTCTTTTGCTATTATTACTATTACATCTCCTTGGATGATTGATGCTTGATGTCTACCCAAATAGAATTGATCATACCAGTTCTCTAGATTACATTTTTAATCTAAAAAGCCAAAAAAAAAAAAAAAAAAAAAACAAGCCTCAATAGAGTACTCAGAATACATTAGATAAATTTAAAAGGAAATAGAGCTTAAACCATTAATTACGGCATTAGAGATAATAATCTGGCATGTGATGAGAAAGGAATTGCGAAGGCAGAGAAGAGGTTTAAAGCTGAAACATAAAAAAGCCAACATTAACACATGCCCAACAAGCAAGAGAAACAAGAAATTTAAAACAAAAATTCATGTTATAAAATCTCTAAGAACTATCATTTTAAAAAGGATTTGTAATTTTGGGGCTAGCAAGCACTTGACAAATTCATATTATGATTTTTCGAGACAATGATTATTTCTCAGCTTATGTCAAGGAATTTAAGGTATCATAGTTCTGACACTGGATTCTTGTTTAAAATTTGATTTTGCAATCCGGGAATATCTATTAATATAAAGTGAATATTTAAGCATCCCAATTATTTATTTACTCCTGAGGCTTCAAGAAGAGTATTTTTAAATAGCACACTCAAAGGTTCAGGTGGATCTCTCAAGTATTAATCTAAAATGTCCGTAATACTTAAGGTACAAGAATATGGTTAAAAGTATTAATCCCATGGTTCCTCATGAAAAAGGGAAATGAATTTAAATAATTGACAGAATAGAAAATTAATGGAATATTTCAACACATATATTTTAAAGTAACTAATTCAAAATCTATTTGGTTATTTGAACATCAGTGTAACTAAAAAACAAAAGTTAGAACATAAAGACTGAAATAGATTTAAGTATTTCAGGAATTTGTGTTCAGTTTTATAAAATTGAATTAGTGGCTAATATTCTCACATAAGGATATTTATCAGTAATATATGAGGCAGTTAGTACTGGTATTCTAAAAGATCTTCTTGTCTTCTTCTTCCATCTTGCTTTTCTTTTTTATCTCTAATTTGTAAAATGTTTTATTATCCCAAGTGGAAGATATTAGTCATTTCAAGTTTTATTTCATACTACAAATGAATACTGTGATGGATTTCTAATGGCTGTAAAACTTGGATTCCCAATGTAGACAATACTTGCTATTAGATTGAAATAGATTGAAATTATGTGCATGATAAACAATAATGGAAGTTCTATAGCCTTTGCTAACTTAAGCATCACTAAAACATTATTTCATACCCCCAAATAAAAAGTCTTTAAAAATTAAAAATGATAATTTATAGTTCCTAGAAATTTATAATATTGACTAATCTCCATATATACCTCTGTTAGTGAATAGCAATAAGGATAAATTTGTTTTCCACTATTCATTGTTGTACAACCTACTGTATATTATAGATCCTAAGTATCTGAAGGCAAATCAACAATGAAGAGATAATGAATAATGTTATATATGCTTTTATTGTTGTGACTTGCAATTGATGGAACATAAGTTGCTAAACTATAAAGTGGTTCATTAACTGCTTTTCACTTTAACAATATAACAAAGAGACCTGTTCATTATTTTAGAAAATTAAAATCTAATAATTGGCTTTTGGTAGTCATGGTTTTCTAAAAGAAAAGACAGATGGCACGAGTTTAGAGTTAGTGGTCTGCACCAGTAATGTAATAGTCACAGCTCTGGTAATTAAGCTACCATTTTACTTAAATTTATTTTATTTTAGATTCAGGGATCTTTTTATTCAGATTTTTTTTTGTTACATGGATATATTGCATACTGGTGGAGATTGGGCTTCTAGTGTCCTTCCGTGTTGCTATAAAGGACATGATTTCATTATTATAGCTATGCAGTATTCCATAATGCATTTATACCACATTTTCTTTATCTAGTAAATAGCTGATGGACACTTATGTTTGTTCCAAGACCTTGCTATTGTGAATAATGCTGCAATGAACATACAAGTACAGGTGTCTTTTTCATATAATTATTTCTTTCCGTTTGGGTAGATAGTAGTGGGGTTGTTGGGTCAAAAGGTAGTGCTATGTTTAGTTCTTTGAGAAATCATCGTAGTGTTTTCCTCAGAGGTTGAATTAACTTACATTCCGACAAAAAATGTATAAGCATTCCCTTTTTCTGCATGCTTGCCAAGATCTCTTGTTTTTTGATGTTTTAATAATAGCCATTTTGACTGGTGTAAGGTGCTATTTTATTGTGGTTTTAATTTGAATCTCTCGGTTGATTAGCGATGTCAAGTATTTTTTCATTTGTTTATTGGCCTCTTGCATTTCTTCTTTTGAGAAATATCTGTTCATGTCCTTTGCCAGTTTTTAATGGGCTGTTTGTTTTTGTCTTATTGAGTTGTTCGAGTTTCTTGTAGATTCTGGATTTTAGCCCTTTGTCAGAGGACTAATTTGCACATATTTGCTCCCATTCTGTAGGCTGTTTACTCTATTGATAATTTATTTTGCTGTGCATAAGATTTTTAATCTAATTGTCTCATTTGTCTATTTTTGTTTTTGTTGCATTTGCTTGTGGGCACTACATTATAAATTATTTGCTTAGGACGATGTCCAGAAGAGTCTTTTTCCAGGTTTTCTTTTATAATTTTTATAGTTTTAGGTCAACATTTACATTTTTAATTCATCCTGAGTTAATTTTGTATAGAGTAAGAGATAGAGATTCAGTTCATTCTTCTGCGTATGACTAGCCAATTTTCTAAGCACCATTTATTGAATAAGGTGAACTTTCTTGTTTACTTTTGTTGGCTTTGTCAAATATCAGCTGTATGTATGCATGTAGCTTTACATTTACTAACTCTATTCCATTGAACTTTGTGTCTATTTCCATGCCAGTGACATGCTGTTTTGGCTATTATAGCCTTGTAGTATAATTTGAATCAGGCAACGTGATGCCTGTAGATTTGTTCTGTTTGCCTAAAATGTCTTTGGCTATTTGGGGATTTTGTTGATTCCATATGAACTTTAGGATTGTTTTTCTTTCTATAATAAATAACATTGACAGTTTGATAGGAATTGAATTGAATATGGAGATTCATTTGTGCAGTATGGTAATTTTAATGATATTGATTCTTCCAGTCATGAGCGTGGAATGTTTTTCCATTTGTTTATGTCATTTACAATTTCTTTCATATTGCAGTTCTCCTCATAGAGATCTTTTACCTTCTTGGTTAAATATATTTCTAGATATTTTTGTGGCTATTGTAAAAAGGATACAGTTTTGATTTGGTTTTCAGCTTGAACATCATTGGTGTGAAGAAACACTACTGATTTTTGTACCTTCATTTTGTATTCTGAAACTTTACTTGGTGTGTCTATCAAGACTATGAGTATTTTAGAGGAATCCTAAGGGTTTGCCAGGTTTATGATCATGTCATAAGTGAACAGAGGTAATTAAACTTCCTCTTTTCCTATTCGGATGCCTTTTATTTATTTATCTTACCTGATTACTCAAGATAAAACTTCCAGTACTATGTTTAATAGGAGTGGTGAGAATGGGCATCCTTGCGTTGTTCCAGTTCTTAAGGGAAATTCTTCCAGCTGTTGCCCATTCAGCATGATGTTGGCTGTGGGTTTGTCATAGCTGCCTCATTATTTTGAGATATGTTCCTTTGAAGCCTAGTTTGTTTAGAATTTTTATCATCAAGAGATGTTGTACTTTATTTAATGCCATTTCTGCATCTATTGAGATGGTTATATGGTTTTTGTTCTTAATACTGATTAGGTGGTGAATCACATTTATTAAGTTGTATGTGATCAACTATCTTTGCATTCACGGAATAAAATCCACTTGATCCTGATCAATTATCTTTTTGATGTGCTGTTGGAGAGGATTTGCTAGTAATTTGTTGAGGATTTTTGCATCTGTGTTGTATTAGTCCTTTTTCATACTGCTATAAAGAAATATCTAAGATTGAAAAGGAAAGTTTCCATCTCCCTCCCTCAACCCATGGGGATTACAGGTTCCTGTCTTGACACTTGGGGATTACAGTTCAAGATGAGATTCGAGTGGGGACAGAGAGCCAACCATATCATATGTTCATTTATTGTTGTGTTCTTGCCTGATTTTGATATCAGGGTGATAGTGGTTTCATATGAGTTAGCGGGGAGTCCCATCTCGATTTTTTGAAATAGTTTCGGTAAGATTGATACCAGCTCCTTGTTGTATGTCTGGTAAAATACATCTGTGAATTCATCTTTCCTGGGCTTTTTTTGTTAAAAAAATTTATTACTTATTCAATTTCATTATGCATTATCAGTCTTTTTAGGATGTCTATTTCTTCCTGGTTAAGTCATAGGAGGTTATGTAATTCCAGAAATATATTCATTTCCTCTAGTTTTCCTAGTTTGTGTGTATGGGAGAGGTCATGGCAGTCTCACAATTTTTTTTTTCCTGAGGTATCAGTTGTAATATCTCCTTTCTTATCTCTGATTGTTGTTATTTGAATCTTTTTCTGGTTAATCTAGCTATCAGTCAGTAAATTTTATTTACTCTTTCAGAAAAACAAATTTTTGTTTTATAGTTCCATTATATCTTCTTCCATTGTCTCAGGCACATTTAGTTCTTCTCTAAGGGATTTGGATTATTTGTTTTTCCAGTTCCTTGAGGTTCAACATTAGATGATTAATTTGAGATTCCTGTGTCCTTTTGGTGTGGCCATTTAATGCTATAAACTTACCTCTTAACACTGAGTTTGCTGCATCCCTGAGGTTTTGGTGTGTTGTGACTCTATTTTTATTTATTTTGAAAAATATATTGATTTCTGCCTCAATTTTGTTGTTTTCTAAAAGGTCATTCAGGAGCAAGTTGTTTAGATTCCATGTACTTACGCAGTATTGTGAGTTCCTCTTAATATTTATTTCTTTTTTTTTTTTTTTTTTTTTTTTTTTTTGAGACGGAGTCTCGCTCTGTCGCCCAGGCCAGACTGCGGACTGCAGTGGCGCAATCTCGGCTCACTGCAAGCTCCGCTTCCCGGGTTCACGCCATTCTCCTGCCTCAGCCTCCCGAGTAGCTGGGACTACAGGCGCCCGCCACCGCGCCCGGCTAATTTTTTGTATTTTTAGTAGAGACGGGGTTTCACCTTGTTAGCCAGGATGGTCTCGATCTCCTGACCTCATGATCCACCCGCCTCGGCCTCCCAAAGTGCTGGGATTACAGGCGTGAGCCACCGCGCCTGGCCTTAATATTTATTTCTAATTTTATTCCACTCTGGTCTGAGAATATACTTGACATGCATTTAATTTTTTAAATTTATTGAAACTTGCTTTATGGTCAAGTATATGGTTGATTTCAGAGCATGTTCCATGTGAAGGTGAGAAGAATGTATATTCTTCAGCTGTTGGATAAAGCATTTTGTCATTGTTCATTATGTTCATTTGGTTTATAGTCCAGTGTAAGTCCAGAGTTTCCTTGATGATTTTCAGCCTTGAAGATCTGTCTAGTGATATCACTGGGTGATAAAGAGAATTCTGTCTTTCTGCTCTTATAATTTTTTGTTCACATCGACTTTGGATAGTCCTATGTATATATGCCTTGGTGAAGTTTTTCTTGCAAAGTATTTTCCAGGAGTTCACTGAGCTTCTTATATTTCAATGTTCAAATCTCTCCCAAACCCAGGAATTTTTTTTGAATTATTTCCTCAGATAGGGTTTCTATACTTTTTATTTATTTTTTTGAATTATTTCCTCAGATAGGGTTTCTATACTTTTTATTTATTCTTCTCTTTCTGGAATAGCTATAACTCATAGGTTTGCACATTTTATATAATCCCATATTTCTCAGATATTTCTTTTTTTTCTCTTTTTAAAAATTTTTCTCTGACTGGGTTAATTTGAAAGATCTGTCTTCCGCTCTGAAATTATTTCTTCCATTTGGTCTAGCCTATTATTAAAGCTTTCAGCCATATTTTGTAACTCCTTCAATAATTTGTTTTGTTTGTTTCCAGAATTGTATTTGTTTTGTTTTGTTTTGTTTTATGGTGTCTATCTCATTCTTTCCTGTCCTGAATGGCTTTCCTGATTTCTTTGTGTAGATTTTTAGTTTTCACTTAGATCTCATAGAGCTTCTTTAAAATTAATATTTTAAAATATTTGTCTGATATTTTTAAAATTTCAATTTGGTTAGAATTCAGTTTTTGGAGAGTTAATGTTCCCTTTCTGGAGTGCTGTATCACTGTTTTTTCAGATTTTCTTTTTTTGTTTTTTGTTTTTATGCCTTCTGATTTGTTTCTCTGTTTTTTTTTTCTTCATATTTGGATAAGCTACCTCTCCTTATGTTTTAATATTGCTTTTGTTTGAATAGTATTTTCCCCCACACCCCAATCCAATCCTAAGGAAGTATAACGTATGATGTTGTGTAGGGTCCATTGACTTTGGTTCTGGGTATTTTCCAAGGCAGTCAGTATAAGATCTTTGGTTATAGATAGCCTTTGTATAGTGGCTTCCCCAAATGCTGGTTGTAGTAGCAATGTGCTTGGAGTGTGAGCAGGCTGACTCCCTCCTGTGGGCCAGGATGGTGGAAGTCTTAGGAAACTGCTCCCCCAGTGCTTTGTGCCTCTGCCAAATTTCCTGTGTGTTGTGCTCTTTAACATCCAGGCCAGTAGGTGGCACTTATGGGTAAAAGCTGCTCCAGCCAATGTGGATGGATTTATACTGGATCCTACTTTGCTAAGGCAAACTTTCCCTGCCTCAGGCTGATCTCTGGAATGCGCAATGGACTGAGCTCCCTCCTTGCTCAGGCTTAGAGGAGGAGAGACCAAGAAGGGCAAAACCACACCAGCCAGGCCCACCTACAGTTTCCCCAATGGCAAGCACAAGCACCAGTTCCACGGGGGTATCCAGTGGGAGGCTGCCAAGTATCCAGAGGTGTTTGTAGAGATGGAGTTGTGTAACTTCCACTGCCTCAAGTACTGTGCATGGAAAGTAGTGATGTCTAAACTCCTAATCTAGAAGACTGTGTGCTCCAAATGTCTTGAGATATGTCTGGACATTGAGCAGAGAGAGCACTGGTGCACCAAGATTTTACACCTGAAGGGAGAGGTGGCTTAGAATGTTGTCAGGAAAGTGGGTGTGCCAGATATGTGGAAATATGACTTGGAAAGGAGTGGAGAAGTCATTGCTGCCATAAGATCATTGCGGTAGACAGGATGGGTGGATCAACTCCTACTCCAGGGGGACAGGTGCACCTCATGATGGATAATATGCCTGGGAAGAAGTAAACTGCTGGCACAACAAGATCTCTGCATAGGAAGGAAGGGGGGGGTGGCTCAAACTTCTAACCCACTGGAGTAGGTATGCCAAATGCCTGGACTTATGTCTGGGTGTGGAGCAGAGGGAGTATTACTATACCAAGCTTTTTTGTGTGTGTGGGAAGGGGATGACAGCTCAAGCTCCTATTCTAGGGAGCATGTGTACCAAAGGCCTGGAGATATGTCTGGGCATAGAGCAGAGAGTGTGCTCCCTTACCAAGGTCTTTGCACAGAAGGAAGAGCAGCTCAGGCTTTCCAGGTGAGTGTGCTGAGAGAGTGTGCAGAGAGTGTGCTGCTACACCAAGGTCTTTGCATAGCAAGAGGGGCAGCTCAGGCTCTCCAGGTGAGTGGGTGGCTGGAAGTATTCCCTGGAGAGGATTCAAAAAACTGCCACTGCAACAAGGTCTTTGCAGGAGAAAGGGGGGTAGCTTACGCTAATCCAGGAAAGGAGGTATTTTCATTGTCCCCCAGCAAGGAGGTGAGTACCCAGTGATGCAACAACATCTTTGCAGGAAAGAGGGAGCAGCCCAGGCAGCTAATCCAGGCAAGGGGGTGCAGCAAATACCTAGAAATATGCCAGGCATGGAGTGGAGGCTGCACTGCTTCACCACTTCATGAAGATCTCTGCACAAAACGGGTAGGGTGCCTTAGGTTGCTGACTTGGGCTAATGTGTACTCCAGATGTCTGGAGATTTCCCTGAGCATGGAGCAGAGAGGGCTCTGCTGCACCATGATCTGTGCCCAGAAAGGGTGGGTGGCTCAGGCTGCTGGTCCAGGCAAATGTGTACTCTAAATGCCAGATGTTCTGCCTGGGGCTAGAGTAGAGAGGGCCTCAGGCCTCCCCTCATGATCTCAGGGGAGCGGGCAGAGGCACCCAGCAATGACACATGCAGAAAAGTTTCGGGATACAAAACTCTCCCTGTCTTCAAGTCTTTCTGCTCAGGAGAAACCTCAGTTTCAACAACTCTCTTCCCACTCCAGTCTGTGATGGGAGATAGCCCAAGTCTATTGTCTAGTGCTGGGATGCTTTCCACACCTGCTACTCAATTCTGGCTGTAGGGGCCCTTCCACCCCTTTAGAGCAAGCACTTCAATCTCTGGCCTGAGATTATAATACCTGTGTGCCTGTCCTGCTGTGTCACCAGACATGACTGACTTTGCAAGAGCCTGGATTAAAAATGGAATCCTCCTCTCTGTTGCAGGTCTTGGAAAATGGCAGCAGATTTTCCCCATGTCTTTCCCTCTCAGCATGTCCAACCTCTTCCCAGGTTAGCTCCAAGACTTGAGAGAAGCAAAATGCTCTCCCTTGGCCTGGATTATACATGTCACTTAGTGGAAAGTTGAGTCACAATGGAAGACTCTCTGCCCTTCTCATGTACAGGAGGTTCAGTCATTTTTATTAGTCAGATGCCGTTAGAGAAGCTGCTTGCCCACCTCCTTCTCTGCAGGATCAGAGGTGTCCTTCACTATTGTGGTGAATTTCCATTTTCCTTCTTGAGTTAAAGCTCGCAGAATTTATCTTTATGCAGTATTTTGCTATTTCCAAGTGCCTGACACATGCTAAAAGCTTTTAATCTGCCATATTGGAAAAGAAAAAGAAAAAGAAAAAACTATATTTGGTGTTTTTATGAAGCAAAATTGTATTCATAATTACTTTTAATTTTATTAATTCTGTTTTTTAAAATTTCTTATTTTACCTCAAATCATCCTTCTGACATTTTCTTCTTCCTGAAGAATGTCTTTAGCACTTGTTATAGTAATTTCTACACGTTTTCTATTGTGTTTTATTCCAGGTTGACAGATTACTAAGGATACAATTGTAGGCTGATGTGATTTCTTTCACCCTTTTAAAAACAACTTTCCACTATCTTTCTAATTCCATGGTTAACTTCTGTAGAGCCTCTGATTAAACTCATCATCATATAGGCTATCTGCTTTCTTTCTCATTTATTTTCAATATCTCTTCTTCTACCCCTTTGGCATCCGTTATGGTGACGTACATACACACACACACACACACACACACACACACACACACACACACACACAGAGACACACACACATATATATATGTACTGTTTTGCTTGAGAGAAATTTTGCTTCCTGAATATAAGGGAGCCTGACTAATGAACATTCTTATAATGTTCTGTCATTATCTCTTTCAACATTGACTCTCAGGTTAGCTGTATTATATGTCCTCAATCCAGTTTTGATGTCTTGCACTGGCCTTTAAATTTCTATGTCTTTCTCTTATTGGAGTATACTTCAGATGATTATATTATGTGTGACTTAAAGTTTACTAGTTTATTTGCCATTAGTGTCTAATCTGATATTTAACTGAACTAGTAGACATTCAATCCTTATTATATTTTTTACATTTGAAGTTCCACTGGTTTTGATTTAAAGCTCTCAGATAAAATTTTATGTACTTTCTTTTTCTGAACATTAAGAAATATAGATTTTGTAGCTTATGTTGTGTTCTTCAAGTATCAAATGCTTTGGACGTAGGATGGTTGATTTTCATTTTGTTGTTTTTGCTGATTATGTCTCTTGGTGTCTCTCTTTCTCACAATTTTCTTGTATTTCCAGTTTTGGATTTGGGCTTGTGTTTAACTGAACTGAATCTATGAAAATATTGGAGGGCCTGGATTGCAGCACTGTTTCACTTGAGGATAATTAAATGTTATATGATGCCACCCAGGATTATAGACTTTAGTATGAATGCTCTTAGGGTTTCCCAGATAATTCCCATTTTAACTCCAACTCCAATGATGTCAGAACTATAGTTAACACTTCTCATGGAGGAAATTTTCTCTCTAAAATTGTTAAATCCAAGATTAACAAGTTAATCTGTATCATTATGCCATTCCTGATCTACCATTTTTTTGATATTGTAACCTGTCCTAATATCCAGCTTTGTAATTGAGTGTCAAATTTAAATACCCATCCTTCCTATGTGTTGTAATATATCTTTTGCCTTGTGTAACAAGTTTAATCTTTTTGATGTATGGTAATTTAATATGATAATGTGTAATTAAATACTCTCAGGGCTTCAGTGACAGAATCTTCGTATTCATACTAATTCCATTCTTCCACAATTGTTTTTGTTATTCCTGTATCTTCTTGTTAACATAACTGTACATTTAAAAGTTACTGCTGTTCAGAATCTGTGCTTTTTGTGTGTGTTTTGTGTGTGTCTGAGTGTGTGTGTTTGGGGAGATTTGTAGATTCCACATATCTAGTGAATAATAATGATGGCACTGAAATTTAAAAATCATGAAGGAACAGAGACACTTTAGGAGACTTTTATAACAATACTTATCAAAAACTAGCTAATAGTTCACTGTAGACACTTCTGGCACCATAAAAAGGCTTAGAGTCTTCCAAAGAAGAGGTAATTGGCTATAGTGAATTTAGACAAATAAGCAAAGATACACTTCAACTCACACTTCCCACTCCACACTCCCCCTTCCTAGGATTCATGAGAGTGGAAACCAATTATATGCAAGAGTAAAGACAGAAAATTGAAGGAAGCATAATTTTGGTACAAGCTGAAGCTATTTGAGACTAATGGGTTGTTTTCATATAGAGTCCAGAAAGGTGTATGGAATCTAAAAAAACAACTAAAATGTAGAATAATAAGTACTATTTTGTGGGAAACTTATTCCTGGTGTGTCAAGAAGACTTCCCAGAGAAAGTCTTACCAAAACTAAGGACTGACAGAGAAATACGAATTATTCAGGCAAAGAGGAGGAGTGTTTGAAGCATAAATACCAGTATCTTTGAAAGTCCACCTGAGAAAAGCTAAGAATGTTACTTGTTATTTATTTCTGTGTTTAATTTCTATTAGTTTTTAACATCAGGTTCCCAACTACTTTAAGAAATCTTTACTCACAATACCAGGCAATTTATCCTATGCCTTTGTTAGTTTCCTTATGGCCCAGGTACTGATGGAAGATAAAATCAAGAGGATTTCATGTTAATGAAAAGCAATGCAATTGGCTTCCTGTTTAGCGTAAATTCTCTGGAGGCATTATAACAACTGAAATGAAATCAGAAAGGATCCAGTGTCAGGAAAATAAACATTTTTGGTTTTAAATCCATACAAAAGGGGTTGAGGCTTTCAAAAATAAATAAATAAAAACAGAAATAAAAAGCATAATTGTGTTCTTGAGAAAGTTTTTTGTTTGTTTTTAGTAACAGAGTCAGTAAAACTTGTGCACATGAGGAAGAGTAGGGAGTGGACTGGATGTTCTAACTTGGGTGATTGGGTATAGGGTAAGACCTTTGACTAATACAAGTTAATGTAATTTCACATTAACTTTGAAGACTCCCAATGTACAAATATGTAGCTAATGAGAGGCCAACAAGTTGTACAGCTGAGTGGTTCAAACAATAAACATTAGAACCAGAACATGGAGTACAATTCTCAGTTCTAACAAATACCAGCATACTATCTGTGTACATTTTGTTCAAATAACTTCATCTCTTTGTTCTAAAGTTTCCTCACTGGTAAAGTAATAATAATAATAATAATAATAATAATAATAATAATAATACCAACTCATAGGATATTATAAGGATTAAATGACTATAGGTTTTTGTGTGTGTATGTGTGTATATATGTATATAGTCACTAAGTACACCTTCTAATTAAATGACCATATTAAAACTAATTAAATGATTAAATGACTATATTTCAGTGACTATATTAAATGACTATATATAAATATATATAGACTCTATTAAATGACAATATATATACTGTGTTAAATAACTATATATAAATATAATATAGTCATTTATGTATATATAGTCATTTAATATAGTCTATATATAGTCTCTCTATATATATACATATATATAGACTATATATATGTGTATATATATAGACTATATATATGTGTATATATATAGACTATATATATGTGTATATATATAGACTATATGTGTGTATATATATATATATATATACACACTATATATATATATATATATATATACACACACACACAATCACTAAGAACAATACCTGGCATCGATATATTACTAGAAACAAAAGTCAGGACTGAGGAAACAGAAGAAACCATCAATTTATTTGCACAATGATGTCTCACCAGATGGATGGCCTGCTTCCCTTCAAATTAGCATTTATTTACTTTTCAGCCGTTTGGCACTCTCTCCAAAAATAGCAACTATTTCAAAATATAAAGAGAGACAGAAGATTCTTGGGACCAAAAAAGCATTGAAGAGTCCCTTTAATGGTTCTCTTAAATATTTATAAAAGGCACTTATAAATAAATAGCTTGAGATTCCATAGATGTAGATATTGAAGAGTTAAGCACAATTGTCCAAAAAAATTTACAAAATATTTATACTTTTAACATTTAAGAGAAAATCTTCACTTTCTTGAATAACTAACCCTGGATTGTGGTTGAAGGAATAGTGGGTTTCTGGCTAGGGAAAGTCAGAAATCCTGAGTAGAGAGTGCCCAGGGCTGCTTTCGTCCTGAAAGAGGCTTTTGTGTTAGTAGGTAGAACTAAATATCAAAGAACCATGATATTTTAACCTCAGGCCTACTAACAGACTAAGCAGGATGCTGAGATATCTCCTTTCTTCAAATAATCACTCTGAAAAAAATCCCAGTCTGAGCGCCCTATGGAGGTACTATGAACAGCTTCAGCCCCTCTGTTCCAGACCTGACTTAGCATGTAACCTCTATTATTCAACACATGCAGCACTTTAACTTTTTTTACATCTTAAGTAAAGGATTAAATCTACACTTCAGATGTGTGTATTCTTGCCCGCACAGAAAGACCCATGTCCCTGACCCACATCACATTTGCCACGTCATGACGTCAAGCATCACTTTAGTGTTCTGCAGCATTGGAATAACACTTCCAAAGTGTTATTAGATTAGATTAGATACCAAAAAGGACAATATTTTCCATCATACACTCTAAGCTTGCTAGATTCAGCTAATACAAATTCAGGACACCAGTTAATTTTGAATTTCAGATAATCAAGGAATACTTTCTTAAAAAAAAATACATGTGCCCAATGCATATTTTGAATGTCTCCTGAAAGACATAATTGATTATCTGAAGTTCAAATGTAATGGGGATACTATATTTTACTTGGCAACCCTGAGGATTTGGCAGGCTCCTGTGTTTCAGCACAATTGGCCTGGACCAATTTTCATTCAGCCAACAGGGTTCCTTTATCCCAGTATGTATATTGAAAGAGCACTTAATGAAGTGGAAATTTTTATGAAAGTGTTTGAAAAACAAGGATACCCCTAAGTGAAAATTAAGAAGGGGTTTAAAGCATTGACATGAGATAGAATGGGCAACTAGGCTTACCTTATTGTTGGGTATGGGTGTGTGAGTACCTGTGGGGCCCAGGAGCTGTGAAGGCCTCAAAGACTAGCATACTGGAAATGTTTTAGGACATATTCATTGCATCAGTTAATGGTTACATATTTAGCAACAGAAAACAGGCCAGGCACATAAATAAATATTGAGGAAAAGAAAATAAGCTCATTACACTATATAACTTAGCCTTTATAAAAAAATAAGTGGAGGAATTTCTGAAGTTAGAAGAAAAAACATTACATAGTTTGAAACAATAGCTATCAATAAGGAAGAACAGGCCAAAGCATAGGGATGCTCCACAGATGCACTGTAAGATATGGAATTTCAAATCTTAATTAATTTAAATTTGAACAGCTTCATGTAGTCAATGGCTACTACATTGGCTAGCACAGGTCTAACATACTCCAATGAGAAAGCAATCACAGGCTTACCTTGGATTTCCTCTCTCTGAAGAAACGCAGGCCTATTTTGCTTTTTACCTGTAACTCTTGAAAAAGATGCTTTATTTAATTTGTTAGTTGTTTACAGGGAGAATGCTATTCTGATACTAGAATTACGTTATTAAAAAAATCTGTTATAATATAATTGAAATTTTATTGAAATTATAAATCATCTAGAGTAATTTTGTTTTCTTTTTAATACACATGTAACATGTATATTCAAATATATATGTTGGGAACACTATTTTTTCTTTCTTATAAGATTTAATTAATCAACATTATAAAGACCATGCATCGTGCAGAAAATAATAAACTTTTCTACCTTTTTTAAAAAAAACTTCAGATTTGTTACTGTTTGTAAATTTCTGATTTTTGATGGTTAAAGGCAAAAAAAAGAAAAAGAAAGCTAAGCTTGAGTTTCCCATAGTTGTGCTTTTTGAGATATTGTCTATTCTCCTTCTGAAATTTTGATTAAATTTGTATATCAAGCCAGGAAGTTGAATGCTTTCTAAAACTATGTTATTGTTTTTGCTGCTCCCCTCCCCTTCCCTGCACAAAGCTGCAGAGATCTTCCAACTGTATTTTATTCCTTTCTGAAATTTTGATCAAATTTCTATATCAAGTCGGGAAGTTGAATGCTTTCTAAAAAATATTTTGTTATTTTTACCCCTCCCCCCCTGGACAAAGCTGTGGAGATCTTCCTACTGTATTATTTTCTTACATTCTGTATTTCTTCTTCGATAACACGTATCTGTAATTATAATTATGCATTTTATGTGCGATTTTAAATTTTCATTTCAATGCATTTATCTGTAATTATAATTATGCATTTTATGTGTGATTTTAAATTTCCACTTCAATGTATGCTTTATGAATTCAAATGTTACCTTTTGTACACCATTACATATTAAATATTTAATTTCTCTAACATGCAACAATCGTGTAACTAACAGGATGAATAAATAAACAAATGATGACTAAATAAATTAATGGATAGACTGACGAATAAAACTGAATGCTTTAGGAGCTAGATCATGCTTTCAGTTCACTACAAGTCTCCGAAAACATTTAGAGCAAATATTCTAATAACAGTTAAAATGGCCATTAGAAGTACAAATCCCAAGAAATTTCACATATTAGAGCTGTGTTATTTTGATGCATTTCAAGACCAAAGTGGCTGATTTAGTATCTAGCTGTGAAATTCATGTTCATAAGATTTTCAGCTATTGCTTAAGACTTACTTCCTTAATGGAGTTGACACTATTGCTGTAAATTTTACCCAGTTACCTTTTACTCTTATGGCATGAGGACTGTCCACTAGGCTTCTATCTAGGTTTTTGTTTGAAACCATGAAAATATGTGTCTTTATCTTCAATATAAATTTCCATCCTATCTAACAGCAGCTACAGCCTAACTTGAAATAAGGCACCTAAATATGACAACTGTCTCCCTTTACAGAGCCTTTATGGCATCATGAAATTGTCTTTCAAAAGCTAGTGTCCTGTGCATCTTCTTGACTTTTCTGATAAAACTTGGACTAAGAGTAAAAATGTTTGGATTTGGGTTCTGTTTAATGGTATTATGGCTTAAAGTTTCTGAAATACTCAAAAGCAGCTTTGGCTCAGTTGTTTCATTGCTTTGTAAGGTCCCATAAGGAGATACAACTCAGGATACAGGGATTAGATATGGGAAAGAAGCAATGGATCACCTAACACGGAAAACCCATATCAGAATCTGGGCTGAGTATTGTGACTTATTTCAGAAGTCTGCGACCTGTTCCCAGTATGTAACTTTTATTACCAATTTTGTGTTTTTAACCATACCCTAATGAACTACATGGAATGAGCAGGAACATGACAGAGAAAAGGCCAGGAACTGATACAGTAGAGTTAACTGCTCCAGTTGCTTAAATTACAGAAATGTCTGTTCTAGATAGAAAAGTGCTACTGAACTCTTAATGGCAAGGCTACACATATAAAGGGAGAAAAAAATAAATTATTAATGTCAACACTCCTCACTGTTTAAAACCATTATTGATACCAAAAATAAATGTATATAATTCCAATTTTATAAACTAAAATGACAAATTATTTTGTTCCCCAATATTTAATAATTATAAAATCCTTCAAAACATATAAATATGATGGTTTCAGTAGCCTAACTAAACAATGGTTTCACTTATCTGCCCCTGTATAACTGATTCTTCATAGTTTACTGCTCACAGACCTATTGCCACCAAAAATAGGTTATATGTGAAGTCATCATATGAGTATTTGAACTAATAGCATAAATGATGATATAAACTATATATGTACATATGTATCTACACATATATATATGTATATATACACACATATTATTAATGATTTAGATAAGGTTACTATTGTTAACAATCCTTCTTATTAAATTATTTTAGCATTGGAAAAATGTAGTAGATTTTTTTTTTTGTATTTTCCCAAAATACCTAAAATTATCATGTGTGAGTACATGTAGGTGTGTGTGGCATGTATGTAGGATGTTAATGAGGGGGTATGTTAACAATATACAGAGAAAAAGAATATGGAAAGTAGGTCTCAGCTACTTGCTGAGTCACTGGGAATAAATAGTAACAGAAAAACTTTGAGGTATTTATGCAGTGAATTCCAAACATTGTATTCTATAATTGCAAACACATTCTAAGGTTTACAAGTTTATTTGAAATAGTGTTCTTTAATGATTTTTAAAATTCTGTTTAAAACTGAAAACAGATGTTTAAATACAATAGATGTTGTCGGGTGAAGAGTATTTGGAATTAACATGCCAGTTCATTATTAAGATTATTTTGTCATTTCTCATTACAGAAAGGCTCAAAATTGATTATGAAATTGAAATTTACATGGAAGCTGTAACAATATCCATTTACACTGAGTATAATTTTTGGTTCTGAGAATTATATTTGCAAATTAATCTAAACTCTTAAGACAAATTTTCTGTCAACAGCATTCATTATCTAAGCAATTTTTCAGTGTAGCCACAATTCATAGATAGCTCTGATTATTTGCTCCCATGGATAGTATATTACGGAAAAAATAAACTAACTTGAATAAACTAATAACCTATTTAAAGACAAGATAGCAGAATGGTTGAAAGTCCAGATTGTCTTGTCAAGCTGTGTGGATTCAAATACTGCCTGAATAACTATGTGAAATGCTTAGAACAATACTTGCTCTGAAGAGGAACGTGGTAAATGCAGGCTACTACTTAATCTTTCACAGCTTGAATGAGTGAACAGAAGAAAAGCCTTAAAAGAATGCCTGAAACAGTCAGCACTTAATTAACATGACCTATTGTATTAGTTTACATTAGTTCCCATAGACACATCAGCATAAATTGGTGGCTTAAAACAACAGAAATTTGTTATTTCACAGCTCTAGAGTTCAGGAGTCTGAAATGAAGGTGTCAGTAGGATCACACTCCCTCCAGTGACTACATAGCCCTACTTTTAAAATAATTTTTGATGAATTACCACAAAGTTACAGGGTAAAATCTGTTCCTCATTACTTTCAAGTTCTGGTGGCTGTTGGCATTCTGTATGTGGTCACATCTTTCTGCTTATCTTTGCATTGCCCTCTTCTCTGGGTGTATGGTGGTCTAATCTCTGTCTCTCTTGCAGGGATATTTGTGATGACATTTAGAGCCCACCCAATTACCAAGGATGGTAAACTTGTTTCAAGGTTGTTTTATAAAATACATCTGTACAGCCCCCTTTTCTAAATAAAGTGATACTTGCAGGTTCTAGGGATTAGGACATAGGTATGATTTTGCTTTACAGCCTACCACAGTTGCTAAGATAATTATTTGACATTACTTAATATTTTTCATTACGCTATATATCAAATTTTACCTAGCACTATTTTTAAAATAATTTTTGATGAATTAGCACAAAGGGACATATGCATGAGTTTAGGTTATAGCATGCAAGGAAATAAAAATAGGTTTTATTAAATTTAAACTTTTGAACTAGCATATTCTTCATATCAAATTCTCTTTTAATTTAGTCTTACTATATACTTACATGAATCAGTTTATATTGTAGATGCTTGTTGTCCAAATTAAATTAGAAAAAAAGATGATAAACTTTGAAAATAACTAAAATTGTTGAGACCTCTTGAATCATATATACATTTTTCCACTGTTTTTAAAGCATGTATATACAAGTTTTTAAAGCCATGTATATACATGTTTTTGAAACAGGTATACGAACTAATACTACAGTATTGTTAATTTTCTATAGTGCTTGACATTTTATAAATGAAAGAAATTGATATGGTTTGGATCTGTGTTCCCACCCAATTTTTATGCTCAATTGTAATCCTCAATATTGGAAGTGGGGCCTGATGGGAAGAGATTGGACAATGAGGGTGGATCCTTCATGAAGGGTTTAGCACCATATCCTCAGTGCTATTCTTGTGATGGTGGGGTCTTAGGAGACCTGGTTGTTTAAAAGTATGTAGTATCTGCTCCCTTAGATGAGCCTGCTGTTCCTTTGCATTTCACCATTACTGGAAGTTTCCTGCCCCCCACCCCCGCTCCCCCAGCCAGAAGCAGAAGCCACTATGCCTCCTGTAGAGCCTGCAGAATCGTGAGCCAATTAAACTTCTTTTCTTTATAAATCACCAAGTCTCAGGTATTTCTTCATAGCAACATGATAATTGACTAATACAGTAATACATGTAAAGTAATAATGAAAATGAGTCATTTGCTTACTTTTGGGTCTTCATATTGCCAGTTTCACTCAGCTATAACACTCGCTTAATATGTAAATTTTTCAGTGACTTACCTTCTATTGAATTATAAAGCAGCACTTGAGTTTTAAATGTCAGAGAAATGCTAAGTATCATATAGATTGGAGCCCATGAGGCTCTGAAGTTGTATCATTAATTTTATGCAGAAGTACACATTTGCTGAGGAGAAATTTCAGAATATTCTCCAGTCTCTACAGTGTTAATAATCCGAACATTGTAAAACCAGAGCTGTAAAGCATCCTATAAGTGAGCACATCAATTTTTACAGTGGGATCCAAACATAATTATTTCATTCTTTCAACAACTTCTCTTTCCAAGTAGATAAATATCTATGTGAGTTGTTGAGATTTTAGGGGATTAGTAAATAATAGCCCTGTCTTTACTGACTTGAACAACTGAGAGTGAGATCTAAGAATAAACCAGATGTATATCAATACATTGTTTATGTTTCTGACAAAGCTGTTTGGAGCATGTAGCCTTATCCTGTGATGGAGTGAGTTTGCTTATAGTCCCCCTGAACACAACTGCTTACCCTAAAGCCTCATATCTCTCTTATGGCCACAGAGCCAACTTGCATATATATACTGAAGTGTGGAGGACCATTGGCAGGGGCTGAGCTAAATATGTTCAACTCTTTCTTCCAAAGACACCAATCAGATAACTCACATCTCCAAGGGAAGAAGGGAGTATGTGTGGAGATAGTGTTAGAAGAGTTCCTTTAAGGAAGTTCTTGCATATGGTAGCCTGTGGCATAGAGTTCAAGTCATCTGTTTTACCATTCCCCACCTATTTTTCTCATATTGTATTTGGCTTAAACCGTAAGTACATGGGGAAAAGATTATCACCTTTTGCTACATTATGGCTTCTATTTTCATAGGCCTCTCTCATAGTCTTAAATTATAAAGTGGGATTTCTTTTGACAAGTATAGAATATGTTGTCTCACACTAGAATGTAAATAATGTCCTCTGGACCTCAAAAAGAGAGTTTGCTTTTCTTGTGTATTCACATTTAAAGACCCAAATAAATAAAAGGCATACATAAGATTTATACAATACTTACTCTGACTACTTTAAAACACACACACACACACACACACACACTCTCACTCTCAAAACTTAAAAAAATACAAAAAATAATGCTTTGTCCCTAGAGAGGCTATACCAGGAAAAATTATGTCCCCAGAACACAAGGTTACTGAAAACCTATGTTACATGTGAGAAGATCTGTGAATCTTGGATTCAGCTTTACTAGTCATTCCAAGTGAGCATAGTTCATTCATATCCTAGGATTTTAAATTGGCTCAAAAACAGCCAGAGGTGAGAGTCTGTGGCTATTTCTGTTATTTTGGGGCGTGAACACACCTTTGCCCTTACAAGGTCTTCTACAGCTTTTCAAATATCCATGTGGATATCTCTTTTCCCAGATTTTCCTTTTTAAGTTTTGTCCATCTCCTTTTTTGACCCAATATATGTCAGAACTTTAGGGAACTGTTATGTGAAAAGAGTTTTCATTGATTGTTTTCAAAAAATGCCCTAGAGACAGGGCTTCTCTCTTGATGTGAGCTCTGAGTTAGATCAAATAATGACAACATCCTGCAACCAGTGCTTCTCTAGGTAGGTAACAGGCAAGTCAAAGAGTGAACCAGCTCTAGCTTTGGGACTTTTTGAAAAACTCCAAATATGGTTTGCCCTTAGCTGTAGCTAAAAGGCTGTTTTCTGAGTTACTGTGATTGTGACTTTGCCAGTTTTCAAGGCCACTGCAGAGGTAGGAAGAAAGCAATGGAGTAGGTCAAGTTATATGACTATTAATCCTGTCCTGATGTTCTTGTTAAAGTTCTCAGATTTTCTCAAAGAAACATTCTTCTTGTTGTTTCAGTACTTTGGTTAATTTCCAGAATTCCAAAAATCTTGACTTTGACAGTTTGTTGCCAATATTTTTGTTGGTTTTATCAATGTACCGCTGGAAGTTCTCACTCTGCCGTTCTAAATGTCTCATCCCCGCTCTGTCTCTTTTTTTCTCGAGTGAAATTCAACACTTTTTTACTCACAAGGCAGACAGTGTTCCATTTTCTAACTGGAGAAGTTACTTGCATTTTCCTCGGTACAGCTGAATATTCTTCCACTATTGATCGATATTAGATCTATTAGGAATCCTACAAATAAAAGGTGGGAAAGACTTAATATTTCCTGGTACTTTTATGTGTAATCTATATACATTGTAAACACTAATCTTACATAGTTATAAATAGATAGGAGGAATAAGTTCAAGAGATCTATTGTACAGCATGGTGACTCTAGTCAGTGACAATATATTGTATTCTTGAAAAATGCTAAAGGATTGGATATTAAGTGTTCTCATCCCAAAAATGATAACTATGTGAGGTAATGCATTTGGTAATTGGCTAGAGTTAACTATTTTTTCTTTAATGTATATATGCTTCAAAACAATATGTTAGGCATGATAAATACATATAGTTTTACATGTCAATTTAAAAACGAATAAATTAGCAAAAAATTAAAAATAACAAAATTGCCAACTAAAAATATTTTGAAAATTTTACACCCAGAAATATGAAATTTTCTAAGATCAGAAGCACTGAGTTGTAAACTAAGCGTAAAATTCAACTTGGCTGACTAAAAGTATATTCTATTAAACAATGGATCATACATACTCTTTACGTTATGCATTCATTTACAATCTGTGTCCTCCAATAAAATGTGATCAGGGGACTAGTAGTAACTTTTTTTAATATTTATATCTCAATTGTCTCTCACAGCACCTGCTACCCAGTAGATAAAATAGGGAATTTTGAATGACAGAATAAATGAAATTTGCAACTTCTCTGAGTCTCCAAGACTTACATCTGTAAAATGAGAGTTAAATTAGAGATCAAATGCCCACCATCTCAAAAAATACTAAGTCACTGTAGATTTCTGTGATGGAAATTGGGTCATCACAGTGACATTAGAGAAAATTATTATTATTATTATTTTTCCATTTATTTATGTTATCTATTATTTCTTTTTTTTTCTAGTTTTTTATTTATTTATTTATTTTTATTATTATACTTTAAGTTTTAGGGTAAATGTGCACATTGTGCAGGTTAGTTACATATGTATACATGTGCCATGCTGGTGCGCTGCACCCACTAACTCGTCATCTAGCATTAGGTATATCTCCCAATGCTATCCCTCCCCCCTCCCCGCACCCCACCACAGTCCCCAGAGTGTGATATTCCCCTTCCTGTGTCCATGTGATCTCATTGTTCAATTCCCACCTATGAGTGAGAATATGCAGTGTTTGGTTTTTTGTTCTTGCGATAGTTTACTGAGAATGATGATTTCCAATTTCATCCATGTCCCTACAAAGGACATGAACTCATCATTTTTTATGGCTGCATAGTATTCCATGGTGTATATGTGCCACATTTTCTTGATCCAGTCTATCATTGTTGGACATTTGGGTTGGTTCCAAGTCTTTGCTATTGTGAATAATGCCGCAATAAACATATGTGTGCATGTGTCTTTATAGCAGCATGATTTATAGTCCTTTGGGTATATACCCAGTAATGGGATGGCTGGGTCAAATGGTATTTCTAGTTCTAGATCCCTGAGGAATCGCGACACTGATTTCCACAATGGTTGAACTAGTTTACAGTCCCACCAACAGTGTAAAAGTGTTTCTATTTCTCCACATCCTCTCCAGCACCTGTTGTTTCCTGACTTTTTAATGATTGCCATTCTAACTGGTGTGAGATGGTATCTCATTGTGGTTTTGATTTGCATTTCTCTGATGGCCAGTGATGATGAGCATTTTTTCATGTGTTTTTTGGCTGCATATATGTCTTCTTTTGAGAAGTGTCTGTTCATGTCCTTCGCCCACTTTTTGATGGGGTTGTTTTTTTCTTGTAAATTTGTTTGAGTTCATTGTAGATTCTGGATATTAGCCCTTTGTCAGATAAGTAGGTTGTGAAAATTTTCTCCCATTTTGTAGGTTGCCTGTTCACTCTGATGGTAGTTTCTTTTGCTGTGCAGAAGCTCTTTAGTTTAATTAGATCCCATTTGTCAATTTTGTCTTTTGTTGCCATTGCTTTTGGTGTTTTGGACATGAAGCATGGTACTGGTACCAAAACAGAGATATAGATCAATGGAACAGAACAGAGCCCTCAGAAATAACTCTGCATATCTACAACTATCTGATCTTTGACAAACTTGAGAAAAACAAGCAATGGGGAAAGGATTCCCTATTTAATAAATGGTGCTGGGAAAACTGGCTAGCCATATGTAGAAAGCTGAAATTGGATCCCTTCCTTACACCATATACAAAAATCAATTCAAGATGGATTAAAGACTTAAACGTTAGACCTAAAACCATAAAAACCCTAGAAGAAAACCTAGGCATTACCATTCAAGACATAGGCATGGGCGAGAAAATTATTTTTGTTGCAGATGGATTGAGGTAGAGATAGTTTGATGTTTAGAAGACTGGCTAGAATTGTGTAAGTTTACAGATGAGAATGTTACATCAGTGTACCTTTCCTAAGAGAAATTTGGTCTGTCCTTCAAAAATTAGAGGGGAGCTAGTGCTTATGGGTATCCATTTGTGATGTCTATATGTTTTATCATTAATAATAATTTCTCAGAAAAAAGAATAAGAGATGCTTCATAAACTTTCCAGATCAGCTTTTTCAGTATTATTTTACCATTTTTTATATAAGCCTAATTATATTTACAAAATGTCACCTGATCAAGAAATATATTAACATATTTAAATTTAAGTTAATACTTTTCAATAATAATAATAGGCAAAAAAGGGAAAAGATTGCCAAGTAGATGCAGTCAGGATGTGCCGCTCCCATGGAAAGAGACCAAATTATGGTTTAAACCACCATAATTTGGGCAGATCTTCATATAGAAAACTGAGAGCAGATGAAGAGGCAATGCTGAAGCCCAGGCTAAAGAGGAAGAAGCCCTGCATGGATTACCCATATGCCAGGGCTAGCTCCCAGCCCCTGACAGCTCCTGGGAAAGGGGTGAGTGAGTTAACTGAGGGACATCTCATTCTCACAATAGACTTCTGAGATTTTAGCAACAGGGGACCCTGTGTCACCTGTTGATGTGTGAGTTGTTAGGAAGATCTCCCATGGAGCAGGCAGAGATAGGCCTTTGGATGGCACAGAGCCGCGGAGCTTTTGTGCAAAGGGCAGCTCCAGTGGACAGTGGCCATAGATGCCCGTCCCCCAGGTTTACCCATCCTCCTCTGGGAGGTGTGGGCCCCAGCTGACCTCTGAGCCCAGAGAGAGCAGGGCAAGCTTCCCCATGGGACTTGGGCATGACTGCCTTGCAAGACCTCCTGCCTGCCAGCCATTCCCAGGAGCGATGCCTACCTGCCCTGCAGGAGTGGGTTGCACAGCTGCAGCCCCTGCAGGCAGCCAAGCCTCAGTCAGTTGATTCACATATGTACTTCCCTGGGAACCCAGGCACACATCAGACCTCCCAGCACAGCCAGAAACTGAACCTGAGCCACAAGATGTCCTGGTGCCTCCAGACCTGTGGCAGGCAGCTCGGGAGTATGGAGCCAAGATCTGTGACTGGCACTTGAATGGGGGAGGAGTCCTCACACAGTGTACTGAGAGTGATGAGACACATGGGTTCCTAGGCTGGGGAAGGAGTGGAGCATGCTTCTCTCCACAGGGCTGGTCCAAAGAAAGTGCTGTATATCCCTGCCCAAAGGGGATCCCGAATCCTGTAATACCTAACAAAAAAAAGTGGGTGCAGCACTGGTGATCAGAGGGGCTCCCTCAAGGCCCAGGAGTGGATCTGTTGAGGGGGCCATCTCCCCCAAAGTATGAAACAGCCACAAGCCTGGGTATTAACTTAGCTACTAGCCACTACTCTTCAGCACCATCTATTGAATCACAGCCCAAATTACAGCACCAAAAATTATTCTGCCAATGTACACACTTGTGAAACCAAGCACAAGACTTCATCCACACATAAAGATCCCATGCAAAGTCCTGGCCCTCTGAAAGCATCCATAAATAAAACCAACTAATTATACTCAAATTATACTCACAGTTAAAGAAACAACAACTCTCCCAGATGAAAAAGAATAAGAAACTCTAAAAGTCCAAAAAGCCAGAATGACCCCTTACCTCCAAACAACTCCATTAGCTCTCCAGCAATTGCTCTTAATCAGTCTGAAATGACTGAAGTGACAGACATAGAATTCAGAATCTGGACGGCAAGGAAATTCATGGAGATTAAGGAGAAAGTTGAAACTCAATTCCCCCAGCCCAAAAAAATCCAGTAAAATAATCCAACAATGGAAAGAAATAGTCATTTTAATAAAGAAACAAACTGTACTTCTAGAGCTGAAAAACTCACTACAAGCATTTCATAATACAATCAGAAGCATGAACAGCAGAGTAGGCCAAGCTGAAATAAGAATCTCAGAGCCTGTAGGCTGGTTCTTTGAAGCAACCCATTCAGACAAAAGTGTTAAAAAAATAAGAAAAATGAATAAAAGCTCTGAGAAATCTGGAATTACCTAAAAAGAAAAAAAAAATCTATGAGTCATTGGCATTCCTGAGAGAGAAAGAGAATAAGCAACTCGAAAATATATTTGAGAATATAATCCAATAAAATTTCCATAATCTTGCTAGAGAGATTGACATGCAAATCCCAGAAATGCAGAGAACCCTGGTTAGATACTATACAAAATAACCATTCCCAGGACACATAGTCATCAGATTCACCAAGATCAATGCAAAAGAAAACATTCCTCAAGGCAGCTAGCAAAAATCGTCATGTACAGAGGGAATCCTATCAAGATAGCAGAAGACTTCTCAGCAGAAAACTTATAAACCCAAAGGGATTGGGGGTCCTATTTTCAGCATCCCTAAAGAAATAAAATCCCAACTGAGAGTTTCCTGTCCCTCTGAATTAAGCTTTATAAGTGAAGGAGAAATGAAATTATCAGATAGCAAATGCTGAGGGAATATGTTTCATCTAGATAAGCCTTTCAAGAGGAATGCTAAAAATTGAAACAAACGAAAAATACTTGATACCACAAAAACACACTTCAGCACCTAGCCCACAGGCAATCAAGTCCACATAACAACCAACTAACAACAAGATGACAGGATCAAAATCACACATATCAATACTAACACTGAATATAAATGGGCTAAATGCCCCACTTAGAAGATATAGAGTGGCTGAATATATAAAAAAACAAGACCCAACCATCTGCTGTCTTCAAGAGACCGATCTCACATGTAACATCACCCACAGGCTCAAAGTGAAAGAATGGAGAAAGTTCTATCATGCAAATGGAACAAAAAAGTACAGAAGTAGCTATTCTTATTTCAACTAAAACAGATTTTAACCAATAAAATTAAGAAGCAAGCCCGGGCACAGTGGCTCACACCTGCAATCCCAGCACTTTGGGCGGCCGAGGCAGGCAGATCACGAGGTCAGGAGATTGAGACCATCCTGGCTAACACAGTGAAACCCCGTCTCTACTAAAAATACAAAAAAATAGCCAGGTGTGGTGGCAGGTGCCTGTAGTCCCAGCTACTCAGGAGGCTGAGGCAAGAGAATGATGTGAAGCTGGGAGATGGAGCTTGCAGTGAGCCGAGATTGCACCACTGCACTCCAGCCTGGGTGACAGAGCTAGACTCCATCTCAAAAAAAAAAAAAAAATTAAGAAACAAAATAAAGCACATTACATAATAATAAAGGGTACAATCTAACAAAGGCTTTAGAAGCCTTAGCTATCCTACGTATATGTGCACCCAACATTGGAGCACCTGGATTCATAAAAAATGTTCTTCTTGGCCTGTGAAAAGACTGAGACAACCACACAATAACAGTGGGAGGAATCAACCCCTCACTGACTATGTTATATAGATCATTGAGGTAGACACCTAGCAATAACTCTCTACTTAAACTTAATACTTGACCATTGGGCCTAATAGACATCTACAGAAAAATCCACCCAACAACCACAGAATATGCATTCTTCTTATCTGCAAGTGGAAAATATTCTACAATCAATTGCATGCTAGGTCATAAAGCAAGTCTTAATAAATTTTTAAAAATCAAAATTATATCAAGCACATTCTCAGACCACAGTATAATAAAAATAGAAATTAATATCAAGAAGATCTCTCCATACTACAGAAAGACATGGAAATTAAACAACTTGCTCCTGAATAACTCCTGGGTGAACATCAAAAATTTTTTAAATTAATGAAAATAGGAACAATTTGCCAAAATCCCTGGGTTATAGCCAAAGCAGTGTTGAGAGGAAATTTTATAGCTCTAAAATACCTCATTAAGAAGTTACAAATTTGCTTCAAATAAATTAACTCACAAATTAACAATCTAACTTTGCACCTAAAAAACCAGGAACCTAAGAAGAACAACCTAAACTCAAAGCTAACAGCAGAGAAGACATAACTAAAATTAGACAGTAACTCAATACAATTGAGATTGAAAATCCATATAAAAGATCAATGAAACCAAGAGTTGGTTCTTTGAAAAAAAATAAATAAGTTTCATAGATGACTAGCTGGAATAAGAAAGACAAAAAAGAGAAGATTCGAATAAGTACAGTCAGAAATGACAAAGATGAAATTACAACTTATCCCACAGAAATACAAAAGACCATCAGGGAATACTAAGAAAAATTCTCTGCACACTCATTATAAAATCTGGAAGAAATTAATAAATTCCTGGAAACGTAAATCTCCCAAGATTGACTCAGGAAGAGATTGCAATTCTGCATAGACTAATACTAAGTTCTGATATTGAATCAGTAATAAAAAGCCTACCAACCAAATAAATTCCTGGACCCAGTGGAGTCACAGCAGAATTCTACCAGATATACCATGAAGGACTGGTACAAATCTTACTGAAACTATTTCAGAAAATCAAGGAGAAAATACTCCTCAGTAATTCATTCTAATTCATCAGCCTACCACCAAAACCTGGCAGAAACACAGTGAAAAAAAGAAAATTTCGGCCAATATTTTTGATGAACACAGATGCAAAAATCCTAATCAAAATACTAGAAACTAAATTTAGCAGCACATCAAAAAGTGAATTCACCAGTATCAAACAGGCTTTATTCCTGGGACGCAAGCTTGGTACAACATATGCAAATAAATAAATGTGATTTATCACACATAAACAGAATTAAAAGCAAAAAAAATGATCATCTCAATAGACAGAGAAAAAGCTTTTGATAAAATTCAACACCCCTTCATCATAAGAACCCTCAACAGACTAGGTATTGAAGGAACATACCTCAAAATAAGAGTCATCTATGACAAACCCACAGCCAACATCTTATTGAATGAGCAAAAGCTGGAAGTATTCCCCTTGAGAACTCAGAACAAGGCTATTCAACATAGCACTAGAAGTTCTAGCCAGAGCAATCAGGCAAGAAAAAGAAATAAAATAGATCTAAACAGTAAAAAAAAAAAAAAGTCAAAGAAAAATCATATAGTCACTGACTATATGATTCTGTACCTAGAGAAACCCCAAGACTCTACCAAAGGCTGCTAGAACTGATAAATTATTTAAGCATGTTTTCTGGACATAAAATCAATGTACATAAATCAACAGCACTTCTAGGCACTAATAATATACAGGCTGAGAGTCAAATTGACGGCACAATCCCATTTACAATAGCCACACAAAAAATGGAATACTTAAGAATACATCTAACCAAGGTAGTAAAAGATCTCTATAAGGAGAATTATAAAACACTGCTGAAATAAATCAGAGATGATACAAATAAATGGAAAAATATCCCATGCTCATAGATAGGAAGAATCAATATTATTAAAATGGCCATAATGCCCAAAGCACTTTACACATTAATTGCTATTTTATCAAACTACCAGTGTCCTTCCTCACAGAATTAGATAAAAAATACTATTCAAAAATTTATATGGAAGGAATAAGAGTCCAAATAGCCAAAACAATCCTAAGCAACGAGAACAAAGCTGGAAGCATCCCACTACCTGAATTAAAACTATACTATTTGGCTACAGTAACCAAAATAAGTTGGTACTGGTATAAAAACACACATAGATAAATGGAAAAGAATGGAAAACTCAGAAACAAAGCCATACATGTACAACCATCGGGTCTTTGACAATGTTGACAAAAGCAAGGGGGAGATAAATCCTTACTCAATAAATGGTGCTGGCATGACTGGCTAGCATGTGCAGACAAATGAGATTAGATCCTTACCTTTCATCATATGCAAAAATAAACTCAAGATGGGTCACATATTTAAATGTAAGACTTCAAATGATAAAAACCCTAGAAGAAAACCTAGGAAGTAACCTTCTTTATACTGACCTTGGCAAGGAATTTATAACAAAGTCCCCAAAAACAATTGCAACAAAAACAAAAATTGAAAAGCGGGCCTTAATTAAACTAAAGAGCTTCTGCAAAGCAAAAGAAAGCATATACAGGTTAACAGACAATCTACATAATTGGAGAAAATATTCACAAACTATGTCTCTGAGAAAGGTCTAATATTCATAATCTGTAAGAATCTTAAACAAATCAATCAGCAAAAAGACAACCCCGTTAAAAACTAGGCAAAAGACATGAACCGACACTTCTCAAAAGAAGACATACAAGCAGCCAACAAACATATAAAAAAAATGCTCCAAATCACTAATCATCAGAGAAATGCGCATCAAAACCATGATGAGAAATTCTCCTACTCCAGTCAGAATGGCTTAGCATTAGGAGAAATACCTAATGTAAATGACAAGTTAATGGGTGCAGCACACCAGCATGGCACATGTGTACATATGTAACAAACCTGCACGTTGTGCACATGTACCCTAGAACTTAAAGTATAGTAAATAAAAAAAAGGAAAAAAATTGCTCACAAGACTGTGGAGAAAAAAGAATGCTTATATCATGTTGGTAGGACTGTAAATTAGTTCAGCCATTGTGGAAAGGAGTTTGATGATTTCTTAAAGAACTTAAAACAGAGCTACCATTTGAACCAGCAATTCCATTACTGGGGATATACCCAAAGGAATATGGATCATTATACTAAAAAGACCCACGCACTTGTATGTTCATCACTGTGCTATTTATATTAGCAAAGACACGGAATTGATTAAGGTTCATCAACCGTGGATTGGGTAAAGAAAATGTTGTACATACACAACATGGAATACTATGCAGCCACAAAAAAGAATGGAATAATGCCCTTTGCAGCAACATGGATGCTGCTGGAGGCCATAATACTAAGTGAATTCATGCAAGAGCAGAAAACCAAGTACTGCATATTCTCACTTATAAGTGGGAGCTGTAAACGTGGGCATAAACATGAGAACAGTAGACGCTGTGGACTACTAGAGGTGAATAGGCTGGAAGGGGAGACACAGCTTGAAAAACTACCTATTGGGCACTATGCTCACTACTTGAGTCCAATATACCCATGTAACAATTCTACACGTGTACCCTCTGTATCTAAAATAAAAGCTAAGATTATATAATAATAATAATAAACAATTGTAACAATGTATCTAACATTTCTGAAGCACCTACTACATGTCAAGAAATATTTTAAGCACATTAAAAGTAACATCTTACAGAAACCCTAGGACAACAACATGGTATATCCCCCGTTTTACTTATGAATAAAATGTTCCACAAAGTTTAAAAAGTTTTTTCTAAACTCATATAGCCAGTAGAGGGTACAGATAGAGACATGTTAATTCTAGAGACTACCATATTAACTATAAATGAAGCAAAGGAAAAACTAAATCAAAAGTGTATGAAATCAAGTCAGTGAGCTGTTGTTTGGGTTTAAATTCCAGAGAACCTCTTGTTTTGTTTTAATCTTAGACATGTTGGAGATATGATTTAATGCAAACAGAATATTGGTTCTTAACTCATATGGGGATATAAATCTTGATTCTACCAATTGTTACACACTTTGGGTAATTTACCTAAACTTATTGTGCCCGAAATAACTTGAAAATTAAATGCCAATGTAAATATTGACCACCTGGAATTCTAAAGAGGATTCTATGAGATAATGAATCTATACAATTTAATTTAGTAATTGGAAAATGACGAACAGGGAAAAACAGCTGTGTGTTTGTGTGTGTGTGCATCTGTGATGTATATGTGTTTATAGCATGAATTCAATATTTTGGCTTTGCACAGTTTACGTGTTTAGTATTTTACCTTCCTGTTAGTGGCTGTGTATATTTTGGTGAGGTGAGCCCAAAGTAGATTTCTGCTCACATTAAATACATTTGATGCAGGCTGATATAATTCTTTCTTATTTGCCTATTCACTGCTATAACACAAAAATCTCATGTATTTCACAGATAGTCACTGCTGACAATCCATGCTACTTTCACAATCAGCATACATCATAACACAGCTTAATGCCACCATTTTTAAAGTTTCAGCCTTGGCCTGTTGTGCTACTTCTCTACATCCTTAAATTCTATCTATGTCCCTAAAAGCCAAGATTAAGAGTCAACTACTTAATGTCTTACTTGTTTGATATTCCTTTGCCAAAATGAATTGTTGGATTCTTTTGTACTCTTACCAAGTACCATTTAAATCTACATTATTTAAATTATATCTTCCTATAATCAATGTAATAGTTCATATATCAGTTTTCAATTGGATTAAGTGATACTTATGGGCAAGACAAGGTTGCTTTTAATTTTCAACCACCGACTACCACAAATTCTTAATATCATAAAGATTTGCATTAAGTAAATGCTGGATAGATACCTGTTGGTTTAAAATATGGACTGAGGCCATATACGGGTAAGCTTATGCAAGGAGCTGAAGCATATAATTTTTACACTCAGTATCCCTTTGGGAAAATGGCTTTGTTCATTTTTGGATATCTTTCATGTAGGAAAATGATAGCACACTGGAGGGGAAAATCATATTGCACAAGGACTGCTGTAAGCATTACTAATACCTAACTTATTTCCCTGCAATGGAGGGCATGAAGTTATGCATGTGCATATTTGTGAGGAGATATGTTTGTAAATCTTTGCACTGACAATAAAATAGAGAGCTGTAAATATATTTTGGTGCATACCTGGCATTTTCTGTCTGAACTCAATAAGAATGTAAATGAAATTGCACAGTCTGCCTATAAATAAGCTATATGCATAGGCTTGGAATACATATACTGAAGTCATCAGGAAAAAAAGAAACATAGTAAATAAATTTATATTTGACTCTTAGACCTGTGGAAATGTCTGACAGTGCAAAATGTCATCTTTAATGTGGTTTACACTGACTCCATGATATCCAAAGATGAATGTCAAGCCATGGGCAAATAGAAGTAGCACCTAAAAGAAGAAAGGTAATATCTTTACTCAAACATACTTACATTCTAGTTATGACTGAAAATAAAACATCGCTGAACAGATTGAAAAAATAACACAGTAAGAAGGTAATATAGCTTTTGTCTTCTTGCTACTATAAAATGTCAAGTTCCTGTCGTATATACAGCATGCACATATATATTTATAAAAGGGGAACATAGGAATGGAAATAGTATTAAAGTGGCAGAGACATAGAAGAGCTTATTTTTAACTGCAATCCCATTTAATTCTAGGTAACTTGTCAATCTCAGAATAGATTACTTTTTATGCTTCGCCATATATTTTAGGAAAAGTTTCTCTAATTCATAGCTGTATCTAACCATGAAAAACCACCTAGGTAGAATCCAAACCTATTTTATGTAAAAATGTTATTCAGATATTTGTATTACATTTATTTTCAAAGTGGCACAAAGTGGGTTATTGTTTTATTTTGAATGGCTGATTACTATTATGAGGAAAGCAATGATAGCCTTAAGCTCATAAAGATTTGTAAAATATGAATGATAATGGTCTCTCTTTGGATTAAATTATGTCTTTGAAGCTCTGTTGGAAGTAACAGGGAGCAGATTAAAGATTCAAGGCACATACGTTCTCATTAATCCTATAAACTCATCCATTTCTAAAGTTTTATTTAAACCACATCTAACACAAATGTCCCTGACTTTCACTTTGCCTAAGTCTTTGCCTCAAATCTTAGAAGGAATTAAAAAAAAAGTTGCCTTCTTCATTTAGAGAATCAATTGTTATTTCATATTATTGACACACCTTTATAGTCACTGTATTCTTGTAATTGTATACAGTATATTTAAAAATATGACTGTTTCATTATTAATGTCTACTAAATTGTAATATCTTAAAACCAATTAAAAATACATAAATAGAAGAAAATTGTGTCTGTTGTCATAACTTGGTATTTTGAATGGCTTGGGATGAAGGATCAAATGAGGTAGAAGATATCATTTTCTGAATTTCTATTTTTCTATTATATCTTTATGTGAGGTTCTTAAAATTCATTGGTCATTTTATCCATGTTTCTATTTTATTAATTACTCAATGCTTTTTTCTTTTTTTGTATAGAATATTCCAAACTCTTCATACTGTTTTGCTAGTGCTAAATTTGAAGTAGTTAGTTGTAAAAATTTAAAATGTATGTCAGTGGAAATTAAGCCTTCATGTTCAGAAGATAAAATGTTTCTGCCCCAAAATGGAAGAGGTAAAGTTTAGTGAGATAGAATATATTTAAGTTCATGATTATTATAGTTTTAAACATTCAGAGTTGAGGCAAATAAATAGAGCATATCTCATTGTATGTATATACACATATCCAAACATATTTGAAAAGCAGAACTCTTTAGTCATAATTTTTTCTGCATGAAAACGATTTCTGTTCTGAAGTCAATGATGCTATCATTTTAAACAGACCATGTATGATTTAAGAATGGAATGTAGAAAAACTGGATTCAACATTTTTTCCAAAGTGGGAGTCAAGTCTTCATTTTTTCCTTTACTGTTGAATAAACCTGAGGACAATGGGTAAATCAAGTTCACAAGGAGTATGTGTATGTGTATTTTATACAAATATATAGAGGGTTTACATTTATAGCAATTTAGAAATTCTTAATCTATTTGAAAGAAGAAAGAAGTCAGTAAATTTGGTGAGTAGGTCATCATAGAAACCTTATACTTCTTAGACCTCAACTTGGTCAAAGTTTGATAAACATTAATACTTCTTGTCCATGGAATAAGAGAGCAAATAATTGAAATATTTGTTGTATTCTATTTCTTCTTTTTTTTTTCTAAATTAAACAAAAATGAATCAGGTTTCATCTTGATATATAAAGAGCTTGGAAGTTGTTACTCATGTCCTTAGGACAACAAGAAAAAAGACATTGTGCAAACGGAAAATTAATGATTTTCTTTGGGCCCGTCAGAGGAGTAAAGTCACTGTGAAACCACCATTGCAGTATCTGGAGATACAGGTGAATGTAGAGAGTCACAGGTGGAATAGGCTCACCCAAAGAAGCAGCTGTTGGAGTCATAATCAATTGGGTCCTAGCCTGTAGAAGCATTTAAACAGTGATTTTGTTGAATTGCTGAAAGATGAATGTGGGCTAATACAAGAGCTAGGTGCTGCCGAGGCATGCATACTTACATGGGCTTTACATTTGAAAATCATGATGTTCTACAGGTGAAGAGCCAAGGAGGATCCCATCATGGTTCTAACAGGGTTAGCAAAGGATAACCATTGTAAAGGAAGTATTCCTAGAGTCTTCTCCATAATATTTTCCTGTTTCACCTAAGGAATAAGGGAAGGCTGAGAAGCACTGTGAATGTCACAGCCTCGGGAAGACAGGACCATTAAGAGAATGATAAGAGACATAAGATTACAGACTGTCTTCCCTCCCCCACACCTTAGTACCGCACAAATGGAGCTCCAGTATAGCAGTGTGTTGAAGCTGAAAGAGTTGCGAGATACACATCCTACCTGAAGAGGAGATTTTAGGGAAAACATAAGATACAGGGGAGACAAAAACCAGACATCAGAAAAATTTGAGGGCATCAGGCACCCACAGCTACAAACATTAAATTCAGCCCAATTCCTAGTCAGATAAAATAGATACCTTATGGTAAAAACAAATTTACCATAGTTTATATTTCCAGACACTTCATGTCTGGCTTTCAATAAAAAATTACAAGGCTTGCTAAAATGCACATAAAACACTGTCTGAAGAGGCAAAGCACCCCTTAGAACCAGACTCAGACTTGGCACAGATGTTGCAGTTATCAGACAGGAAATTTAAAATAACTATAATTAGTATGTGAAGGGCTCTAATGGACAAAGTAGATAAAATGCAAAATCAGATGAATAACATAAGCAGAAAGGAACATAAGAGTGTCAGTGGGGATGTGTAGAAATTAGAACCCTTGTACACTGTTGGTGAGAATGTAAAATGCTGTAGCCACTACAGAAAACACTTTGGAAGTCTCTCAAAAATTAAAAATAGAATTACCATATGATCAGAAATCCCAGTTCCAGTTATGTGTCCAAAAAACATGAAATCAGTATGACAAAGAGTTATTTTTACTCCCGTGTTCATTGCAGTCTTATTCACAATAGCTAAGATATGGAAACAATCTAAGTTGTATATAAACAGGTGCCTGGATCTAGAAAACATAGTATAAATAAACAATTATATATTATTGAGCCTTAAAAAAAAAAAAAAAATCCCTGCCATTTGCAACAACGTGGATGAAACTGGAGGACATTATGGAAAGTGAAATAAGTCAGCCAGAGAAGGACAAATTGTGCATGATTCCACTTATTTGAGGTATCTTTAATAGTCAAACTCTTAATAACAGAGAAAATGGGGGCTGCTAGGGCCTGAAAAATGGGAGAAATAAAGAATTCTTCAAAAAAGATAATGTTTCAGTTATGCTAAGTGAATAAGTTCCAAAGACCTGCTGTACAGTCCCTTTAGTTAACAATACTATATTATATGCTTCTAAATTTGTTAAGAGGATAGATTTTATGTTAAGTATTCTTAGAGCAAAACAAAAAAAAGCAAAATTCAACAATCAACTACATCAACAAAAAGGGCCACAGGAAAACTCTGGGAGGTTTTGTATATGTCTATTACCATAATTGTAGAGATAACTTTATGGGTATTTACATATGTCCAAAAATGAACACATATGTCATCACAATTTTCATGCATGCATCATCAAAATTAACACATTAAATATGTGTAGTTCTTTGTATATCAATTATGCTTCTAAGAAACTTTTAAAAACCAGGTGGTTATGATAAAAATAAAATACATGGTAACATAAATGAAGAATACTGTTGATGGTCTTATTAATAGATTGGACACAACCAAAAAAAATCTGTGAGCTTAAAGATAAGCTGATTAAAAAAATTCTCAGTCTGAATTGCAAACATAGAAATGTATGTTAAAAAGAGAACTGTGATACTACTTTGAAGGGTGTGACACAGGCATAATTGGAACACTAAAAGAAGAAGAAAGTGAGAATGGAGTAGAAGAAATATTTGAAGTAACAATGGCCAAGAATTATTCAAAATTAGTGACAAACATCAAACTGAGATTCAGAAAATTGAGAGCTTAGAGAATAAATACAAAAAAAAATGTAATTGTGTGAATATTATATTCAAACTCCAGGAAACCAGAAACAAAGAAAAAAAGTCTTAGAAGAATGTAGAAATAAGTATAATAAATAAAATATAGAAAATACGTAAGAAAACATCTTGACCATATAGGAACAAAGGTATGAATTGCAGACTTTTCAACATAAACCATGCAACTAATAAGTGGTAGTCAAATATTTCATGTTAACAAAATAAAGTAAATAACCTAGAATAATATCTCAGTGAATATTTCCCTCAAAATCGAAAAATAAATATGTGCATTCTAGAACAGACACTGAAAGAATTCATTGACAACATACCTGTGCTATAAGAAATGTTAAAAGGAGTCCTTCAGACAGGTCAATTATATAAGTCACAAACTTGTGTCTACATAGAAAATGAAAGAGACTCAGAGAAAGAATAAATGAAGATAAGGTAAAATCTTTTTCTCAATGTTAAATTATCTAAAGAATGACCGCGTAAAACAATAATAACAGTAACAATGCACTGAGTAATTATAGCATATGAGTAAGTGAAATAAATGACAACAATATCAAAGGGTCTGGAGGAAGAAATTGGAGGAAAAAAAACTATTGTATAAGGTTATAATCAAAGACAACAACACACCCACAGACACATACATACACACACATAAACATCTAAAAAGACAATTATAATAGATATTCAGAGAGGATATAAAATTGAAACATGTGAAACACTCAAAACAAGGGAAGGTAGAAAGAGAAGCTAATCAAAAGCAACAAATGGAAAACAGATGCAATTATGGGAGATATTAATCTACCTATATGAAAATAATAACTTTAAATGTGAAAGGTCTAAATATACCAATTAAAAATAGAAATTGTTCAGCTGTGGACAAGCTTCAACAACAACCACAAAAGGTAGAAATTGTTAGAATGGATAAAAACAAGACCGACTGTGCTGAGTACGAGCATCTCTTTACATATAAAGAGATTCATAAGTAAAATTAAAAGCACAAAGAAAAATGTACCATACTAACACCAACTAGAAGAAAGCTAAATAAATTATATTAATTTCAGACAGGGAAGTCTTTAGAACAATGAAAATTATCAGGGACAAAGAAAGCCATTACCTAATATGTGAAACAAAAAACTGATGAAACTCCAAGAAAAAAAAAAAAACAACAGATACTTTATTATAGTTGGAGACAGTAACACCTCTTCTTTTAGTTACAAAATAAGTAAGAACATAGTTGACCTATGTAGCACTACAATTAACTTGACCTCTTTGACATTTATAGAATTATTTATTTAATAACAATCACATATATATTATTATCAAGATTTCATGAAACATTTATACACATAGACCATATTCTGGGCCACAAAACACACCTGAAAAACCATGCATATATTATTGTTCTATTATAAAGAAACATGTATGCATATGTTTATTGCAGCACTATTCACAGTAGCAAAGATGTGGAGTCAACCTAAATGCTCATCAATGATAGACTGGATAAAGAAAATGTGATACATATACACCGTGGAATACTATGCAGCCATAAAAAAGAATGAGATTATGACCTTTGCAGGAACATGGATGAAGCTAGAGGTCATTATCCTTAGCAACCTAATCAGGAAAAGAAAACAAAATACCACATGTTCTCCCTTATAAGTGGGAGCTAAATGATGAGAACACATGGACACAAAGAGGAGAACAACTCACACAGGGGCCTATAGAAGGATGGAGGGTGGGAGGAGGGAGAGGATCAGGAAAAATAACTAATTGGTACTGGGCTTCATAGCTGGGTAATTAAATAATCTGTATAACAGACCCCCATGATCATGATGCAAGTTTACCTATGTAACAAACCTGCACATGTACCCCTGAACTTAAAAGTTAAGAAAATAAAAAATCTAAAATCAATAATATAAGTGTTATGAACAGAATGCTGGAATCCTTGCAAGATTCATATATTCAAACCCTAAACCCAGCATGACTGTATTTAAAAATAGGGCTACTGAAGAAGTACTTAGAGTTAAATGAAGTCATAGGACCGGGGCTTTGGTTCAGTAGGATTAGTGTTTTTGCAAGGAAAAACACCACAGAGTTCTCCTTCTTTCTGTGACAGTGCACAAATAAGAGGTCTACTGAATTTGTGCTAATTTGTCAGAATAATCATAAGGACTTAATGAAATGAGGAAGTAGACATACTTCTCCTCCAATTGGGAACAAATAAAGGTATCCTCTCTGACCACTTCTTTTCAGTATCATATTAGAAATCTTTTCCAGTGCAGCAAGACAGAAAAAAAAGGGGGGGGAATAAAAGGTGTACCAACAGGGGAGAAAAAATAAGAATGTCTTTGTTTGCAGACAATATCATTATTTATATGGAAAATAGAAAATCTCCAAGCTCTCTCTCTCTCTCTCTCTCTCTCTCGCTCTCTCTCTCTCTCTCTCTCTCTCTCTCTATATATATATATATATATGTAAATCCTGACATTAATAAGCAGGTATAGCAAAGTTTCAGGATATATGGTTAATATACAAAGTTAAATTGTTTCCTGATATATTAGTAATGAACAATTGGAATTTGATATAAAGCTAGAGGTTACCAAGATGCGGTGATATTAAAAATAAATAAAAAGGAAAACAAACACATCAGTAAAGTCACAGAATAGAGATCCTAGAAATAGAACCACATGAATGTAGTCAATAGATTTTTGTCAAAGGAGAAAAAGCAATTAGATAGAGATAGAATAGTCTTTTCCACAAGTAATTCTGAACACTTGGCTGCCCGTTAGAAAGAAATGAGCAGATACCTTAACCCTTTCACAAAAATTAACTAAAAATTGATAATAGATCTGAATGTAAAACACAAAGCTATGAAATTTCTAGATGAAAACTTAGAAGAAATATTAGACAACTTTAGGTTTAGTGATGAGTTTTTAGCTATACCACCAAAAATGTGTTCTGCAAAAAGAAAAATTAAAGGTTGACTTTATTAAAATTTAAAACTTCTGGTCTATAAAAGACACCATCATTAGAATCAAAAGAGAAACCACAGAACAGAAGACAATATTTGCAAAACATATATCTAATAAAGAATTGGCATGCAAAATATAGAAAGGGCGTTGAAAACTCAACAAGAATAAAGCAAACAACACTATTAAAAGGGACAGAATATATAAACAGAAACTTCACCAAAGAAAATATGCAAATAGAACATATATATAGGAAAAGATAGGCATCATTTGTCGTTAGGAAACTGCAATGTAAAACAGCAATGAGTTACCAGTACACACTTAATAAAATAGCTAAAATCCAAAATATCTCACAACAACAAATGTTGGTAAGGATATGGAGCAAAAGTATCTCTCATTCATTACTAGAGGGAAAACAAAATGATAAAATTTGGAAGAAATGTTGACATTATTTTTAAAAATTTAAACATTGTCTTATCACATAAACCAAACTAATTTGAAAAGTCATGTCCACACACAAAAACCTAAGTGTGAATTTCATTTCAGTATAATTGATCATCTTCAACAATAGAAGACAGCGAAGGTGTTCCTCAATAGGTGAATGGATAAACAAATGGCGGACATCCATATCGAGGAAAATTATTTAATATTAAGAAGAAATAAACTGCTAAGCCACATAAACATATGGATGAATATGAAATTCATACTGTTAATTGAAATTAGCCAGTCTGAAAACACTGCATGTGGTATAATTCCAATTACATGACATTGTGAAAAAGGCAAATCTATAGATATATTAAAAAGATCAGTGCTTGCCAGGGATGTAGGGGAAGAAAGCAGAGGCTTAATAACTGCAACACAGGGAGTATTTTAGAGTGATGAAACTTCTGTGTATGATGCTGAAATTTTGGATACATAAGAGTATGCATTTGTTAAAATCTGTAGAATTTTAATGCACAAAATGTAAACCTTAGTGATTACAAATAAAATTATTCAAGTGATATTGAGATCCCAGGAGGCCATGCAGAATGTCACAAAACAAGCTAAATGCAGTCCAAATAAACATATGAATTTATCTCACTGAGATGAGGTGGCTGGGGGAAGAGGTGCTGACCTAAGTAACTTCGGAAATACTATTTGATAATGGAATAGGGTTGTAGATATTGGTAAGACCTCATTTTACCTGAATATAGTTACATCTTGTTGCATATAGAAATATTTATGAATATGTGTATATACATGGTTTATTAGGCACACATATTTGCTTGTTTGCATTTTTAACTGAGAGCCCCTGAAAGAAGTGCCACACCAGTAGCAATGAGCACATCCAGAATCCAGATTCTAGTATTGGGGTAGGAAATGTACATGATAAATCTGAAGCATCTTGCAGTTCTAGAAATGTAGGAAAATCTAAATAAGGAAATCAAACACATACACTCAATGATATATAGCTTTCTACATGTTAACAGCCCCTCTACCTATAGTAATTACCTAGGCTCTGAAGTTAGCGTGTCTGGACTTCAATCTCAAGCTCCTTCTCTATCTAAATAGTGATGTTGGAAATTTTGCTCATTACTCTGTGCTTCATTTCATTTGCATAATTGGAATAATAATGTTTTACTGCATAGGATTAAATGAATATTAATTTTGATAACTTTTATTAGTAGGGCAATGTCTTTCTCAAAAAAAGTCTTAAATAAATTTTCTGAATACTATTTATAATATCTGTTTTATAAGTTTGAATCATACTATATAGTGTTGTGAAACCTGATTTTTCAATTTAATGTTTAAAAATAAACGCTGTTATTTGCAATATATTAAAAACCAGAAAGAGTACACAAAAACATTTGATTTTCTTTCAATAATTCATATTCTTATAACTACATTCAATGCAAGATGAAACCAATTTTTTCTATTTTCCACTAAAAACTTCCCTACTATAAGGGAAAGGAAATAAAATTCCAATTCATGTCAGTCCTAATAGGTACATTTAGTAAATGTAGAATACTAACTTTATTATTTCAGAGGATCTTGTTTCAAAGCCTATTTAATTTCTGTTTGTAGAATTAAGTTACCATTGTTGTGCTGAGACTAACAGGGTAGCCTGAAGAAAACTGCCAGGAGGTTAATTACCAAGTTTTCTTGAAAATCGATAAATTATTATTTTCAGCCGCCTTTTCCACTAAGGAAGCCCTTAAGGTATTTATTGCATGAGGAACATTACTATTAGCACGTTTTTATTTTCTCTGAAAAGCTTCATATTCCAAATGAAATTTGCTTCTTAAAAGAGAAAGTAAAACACATTTGTAAATCACAACCAAGCACTTCTAAAACAACACTTTCAGTTCACAATACACTTACATACTTAAAAATGGTATGAATTTAAAACTAAAGTTATCTGTATTTGTTTCAAAGGACAATACATCATTACGTGTTTTAAGTATAATTCTCATTCTTTTCTCTCAATGTAATAACCAAAGCTTTACAATACAATATTCAAATGAATTTAAAAATTCAACAAGAAAGTTGAATTTTATGGTTAATTAGCATTCTGAATGTTTTTAGGGCATATAAAACAGGCTACCTATTACAATGATAGAGTTTGAATTGTGTCTAAAGGTCTTTTAAATGTGTTATCACTCAGTACATTTTTCTTGCCCAATAAAACTTGGTTATTGGTGGCAGTACTTTTACCATGAATATCTTGAGCTTCGCTTCCCAATGCTTCTTAACAGTTCTCCAGGCAACCACTCTCAATATATTATCCTTAGGAGTCAGGATGAATTTTATTTATCAGTCTGTATTCCATCCATTTCTTTCTCTGTCACATATACTTCTGAGGATGTCATCCTGATTCTGCTTGGACTTTTCCAGGAATGAAGAACTCATTACAAGATGTGACAACATCATCCATTTGAGGAAAGTTTCATATAGTGAGTTGTTATTTGTTAGTATAAACCAAAAGTAACTGAACCATTATTTCCCATAAATGAAGCAAATTCACTTTCTTCGATGATTAAAACAAAAATTGAGTCTCTTTCTGAAAAGAGTAAATTTACTGCAAAAGAAGCTTGAAACTTTTGTAGATGTGTACACACGAGAAGTAAATAGAAATGACTTCATGAGCTTGCTAACCTTGGCAAATTCTGGCTGTATCTCAACAGATAATGGTGAATTACACAGTGAAGAAATTCATCCCACGAACCTACACAGTACAATATTGAAATAGGAATAGGCTAATCACAATAACAATAACGACAAATGGTCAGGACATAAGGATCACTGGGCCAGGTAATTCTGAAATACAGGCAGGGAAATATTGCTAAGTCCTTCCCCCTGGGAGAAGAAAATATTCTTTTCTTTCTGGACCTAGTGCTCCATGGGAATGGCTTCCAAATTCATCATTGTGTATCATGCTTACCTACATTTTCTTTGATTCAGGTTCTTTCCTTTGATATATAATCCCTTTTTCACAATAAATTGTTCATCTTTTATTTCTCAGTCTGCTTCTTAACAGCAGAAAGTTGGAAGCCTGAAGTCCTTTTGCTTCCCCTGATTTTTATTAAGTTTTTAAATTGTCTTTTTCTTTTTGCTCTAAGCTGGTAGTTCTTTTGCCAGTCTAACTTTATTAAAACTTTATAAGTTTCTTATATGTCTGTTGTGAGTTCACTCCATGTTCCAAAAGCCACGTCTATATTATATCTCTCTATCTTCCTCTACATATCAGGCTGATGGGAGGCAACACCCTTAGGATTCTTACAAGCCCTTAATAAGATTCTTAAAGCTAAAAACCTTGATTTGATTTTTAATACCAGATATAATTTCACTTTGTGAATCTTTACGTGCAGAAGAGACTAAGGATTTGAGTATTATTCAGAAAGACCTAGATCTTGTCTATTTTCTCTAAATTTTGGTTGCAGATTAAAGGATTTCTTTATTAGACATTTCTCTCCTTATCCCAGGTTGCTAGGGTCAATTGATTGACATTTAGATTAAAACATTCTGCCTGATGCATTAGTCAGATGTTCAATAATTTAAATATATATTTCATTTCTCACAATAGCACAGAAAACCATTTCGCTAATTGTTTTACCACTATTCAAATAGTTGTTCTTTCTCCAAAATGTTAAAACATATTTTTCTCCACTTCTCCAGTTGTTATAAAGTGAGCATCAGTTTTTCAACATATGCTAACAATTTTCCTGCCACATTTCCAGCTTCTACATGGTTCCAGCCAAACACAGGTGGTTTACATTTTTGTTTTGCTGGCTTAAAAAAATTATGAATTGATTCTCATAGCTCCACACGTTGTCAGAGCCTGTTTTCTGATGTGGGCTGGTTCAGCTGGGGCCGGATGGTCCCAAGTGGCCTCATTCAACTATCTGGGATAGGCAGCCTGGTTGGTGTGAGGGAAAAACTTTATTCACATATCTTGTGATTAACTGTGTCAATTGGGGCAATGGCTAAATGTGTCTCATTATTCAGCAGTCTATCTCAGCTTTTCTCACCAGCTGGGAAAAAGTTGCTAGTGCAAAATAAGGCAAGTCTGTTGGAAAGTTCTCGTTGGGCTTCCTCAATAACACCAATCTGTTGCTTTCTGACCTCTGATGGCAGTTATCTTTTCAACTGTTGAGTGGCATATATATTGGGGTTTTTGCTTGGCAGCACCCAAATTTGATTTATTATTTTTCTTAAGTTAGGCAACTCTTGTAACAACCAAATAGAAAATTTCAGAAACCTTTCAGAATATAGGTTAGTTTCCCCTCAAGTCATAGTATGAGCCAATGGGAAAGAAAGTAAAAATTGTATTCCAAGCTGTATTTCAAGGACAAAAAATTCCATCAATCCCAGTGCCCAGATATCTAGGACTTTGGAACTTTTCACTGGTGACTTTTTAAGTGAAGTTTGTAAGTTAAGGTCAGCGTAGTAAAGTATAGCATAATGAGAAGTACTCAAGCCAGAATGGCAGAAAGATTAGGTTTATTACACACAAATATCTGAGAGAAGAGGACAGGCTGTGTCATAAGGCCCACAGGAAGGGAGGTGGGGGATATCTAGGATAAAGGAGCTTAACGAGTATGTGGGAAGCAAGAGGGAGAGATGGGTACCTGTGGGCAAAAGACTATTGGGGTCTAAGGCATCATAGAGATGGGTTTCCTCTGAGAGGATTGGTTGGATAATTTAAAGGGAGCTCAAGGCTAAGCACAGTAACTCAGGGGTTATGTTATCAGGTTCACCAGGCCTAAAGCAGAATGAAGGTTATCAAGTGGTTTAGGGTAGAGGACCTTATCTACCTAGAACATGAAAACAGGATTTATTTGGAGACTACCTCAAAGTATGCAAGTCAATGGTGACAAGCCAAGGATAAGACAAGAAGATTAATGATGAGGCAATATTAATATGTACGAGAGTTATAATACCAGTATAGCTTCTGAGTGTGATTCACAACAAGAAAGACAGAGTCCATTCAGAAGGCATAGATACACTGAACCACTTTACACTAGAGGGGGAAAATTTGCTGGACAATATAGGAAGATGAAATTGTTATCATTTATGAACAATTGCTTAGAATTTACCATATTACCTTATTAATAATAAAACAAAATTATGATGTAATTAAAAGCACAGTTATTTTGTTTTCATAATTTTAATATATCCAATATATTTTGTCTATCTATTAAAAAGGTCTCATTTTTAATGTTTGGATAAAGTTGAACATGCTTATATATTTTACATATACTTGAAAAGTATTGATTCTTTTCTTTACACACATAATGACTTTGAAAGGATGATGCTACAAAAATCATGTACATTTTAGCTTGGTTATATTGGAAAACAGCTAAAAACACTGCTATATAAGGCATTTTTTAAAATTTTTCCCTGAAAGTCAAAACATTTATCAGAATATTGATAAGAAGAGAGTCAGGTACAACATTTTTTACACGTGCATTATGCAATAATATGCTCATAATAATTGACCCTTAGGGAAAGCCAGTAGTCTGAATATCCATGGATTACTGTGGAAGCTATTGACAAATGAGAAAGGAGAGTGCCATGGCAGACACATTTAGGTATTTAAGACCTTCAGTTCATAACCTCTGTGGGAGTGATTTGATTTATGGGCTTTATTTATCCCTGAATGATATAATGCTTTACTTACTGCCTAGAAATGTCTGGTTCTTAATCTTGCCAAAAAAAAAATCCTATTTTATTATTTTGCAAATTTCTGTTTGTGTTTTCTGATTGTATTTTTAAGGATTTGTATATTTATTCTGTGCAACCACTCCTAGTTTTTAGACCCCCAATTATGGCTGCTTTTTTAAATCAGACAATTATGTTTAGTATTCCTGGTGTTTTTGAAGCTACATTTTAACCTTAGCTTTTTCTGTTAAACTTTTTCAGTAGGAAGTTATCTGAACTTTACTGTGCTATAAACACATAGATGAGGAAAATAACTTTGAAAATTACCTTTAGAAACTCTTAGATATTGTAGGTATAAATACATGTTTTTCTTAACTGTAGCTGAAGATACTGCTTTACTATCCTGAATTAATATCTTCTTTTCAAATGGATATCTCTATTTGAAAAAAAAAAGAAAATATCCATATTGTGCTTAAATCCGTCATGTTCCAAAGAGCTTTAAAACTAATGATTATGGTTTTTAAAAGGCGCTATTATCAAATATCAGAAGATTGGGTTTGTTTGTTCAAGTTTAAATGCGGCATGTACTATTGGAGAACTGAATTTTTGCAAACGTTAAAAAAAGAAATATTGGTCTCAAGATTTCTATGCCTACAAGTATTGAGATTTCTACAGCTTTGCAAATACGACCTCTAAATCAATTAGAAACTAATTAGGACATATTCTCTTTTTCATAAATGAAAGCACTAGAAATTCAGTAAAATTACTTGATCGATCATTTTGGATTATTGATATTCTACATGCAAATGCTGAGATTTCAGTTTACTTGAACTTAATTTAAAAGGCAATTATTTGAGAAATACTGATTCTTCTCTTATATTAAACTTGTTGCTGTGTTTTAGGGGAATATTTTACACAATAAAACACAATGCAATTATAGAGCTTTTTTTTTTTAAAGAAAAAAAAGCCTCATGATTTGAGAAAGTATAACTAAAAAGCAAGAATTGAAGGTTCCAGCTTTTAATATGTAGCTAAATGTGGTAATATACAATTGTGCATAGAAATAGGAACAGGGCTGATCCTAGTCATTTGAAACTGTCTCATGTGTGTCAATAAACAGACATATGTTCCACTAAATTATACCCCAACTATTGTTTTTTTCTTACTCACTAATAGCATTAAAGGAAAGAACAGAGCTATTAAAAGATGAAGAGTGAATGTGATATAAGGAATTGTAAAACTTTGGTGCAATACATATGCATTACTCACCTACATGATTTTCTGTATCCAAATCACATATATTTGTATATATCTTACCTTTCTAAAATTTTGTTTTTGAATGTGCATTTATGCTAAATACATATAAATAAAAATCACAAAATATACACAAAATTTTATTTTAAAATTATATCTTATTAACATAACTGACAGAAATATTTAATAACACTTGAGAAATAAAAAGGATGATGGAACAGATGAAATTCAATGGATTTAAATTACTGTTTTGGTCTTTAATATTTTTAAATAATATAAAAGATAAGGTGATATTTTTAAAAGTATATATGTGTGCTTTTCCATAATAGTTATGATAAAGTTATAAATAATTTGGTATTTTTAATTGAACCATTCTACAAATTGGTGTGAGAATCACACACACAAAAGTACCACACACACACGCACATACGAAAAACTGATTACTTTTTATTCTGGCTTACAGTGGAAGAAAACTTGTGGTTATTGAGTTTTTGACCTCTGCAAAGTTTGCCTAGTTTTTGCCTAGCCACATGTAAGCTTGCTCACTGAAAGTGTTTTTGTCTAACACCACTGAAATGAGTCCTTGTCCTGCTAATCAAGCATTTCTAACTGTATGACCCTCATTGTTTCAAAATGCTGATTCAAATATCTCATTGCCAGTGTGAATGCAATTCATCTGAGTCATTAGATGACGAATTTCATAAACAGCAGACATGTTCAATCTACATGGTGGCATAGTAACAATCTGCTTCATTCACTCTGTAATTACCATCTGTTTTTACTGATGTGGTAGAATTTGCCAATGTCATATAAATGACACCTGGGGATGCTTATAATTTGCAATACTGTAAGTGGTATATTGTTATTAATGACATATTACATACATATTCAGGATGGCTCTTAAATTTTGGAAATTTCATTATTGAACATGTAATTATTCCACTTGAAAATTATGCTTAATATTAATCACTCAAATCCTTTTATTCTTTTTAAATATTGTCAAATTTTGTATTCGTTTATAAGAAATTAATGCACATCCAGTAACAACATATCGTGTTTTTAAAATTGTGTCATTCATTCAATCAACGCTTGCAGACTATGTAGGTGCTTGGCCTCAAATAATGCACTAAAGATATAAAAATTACAATTTTAAGCCCTTACTTTCAAGGAATTAATATCTTTGTAGAGTGCAGATAATAATGAAATCAATTTATTTATAATTCAGGTATGAGATATGAAACAGAGGCAATTTTACATGCATTAGGGTAGTAGTCAGCTGCCTCTTCTTAAAGAAGGTGATAAATATATGAATCTTCCTAACATAGCTAATGTTAGATGCCAACTTGGCTAGGCTATGGTGTCCAGTTATTTGGTCAAACATTAGTCTAAATGTTGCTTTGAAGGTATTTTTTACATGTGATTAATAATTGCAATTAGGGCTGGGAGCAGTGGTTCACGCCTGTAATCCAGCACTTTGGGTGGCCAAGGCAGGCGGATCACGAGTTCAGGAGAATGAGACCATCCTGGCCAACAAGGTAAAACTTCATCTCTACTAAAAATACAGAAATTAGCTGGGTGTGGTAGTGCATGCCTCAGCTACTCGGGAGGCTGAGGCAAGAGAATTGCTTGAACCCAGGGGGCAGAGGTTGCAGTGAGCGGAGATCACACCACTGCACTCCAGCCTGGCAACAGAGCAAGACTCCGTCTCAAAAAAAAAAAATAAAAATAAATTTAAAAAATTACAATTAGTTAATTATGTTTATTTATGTTATCTGTATGAGAGAGAGATTTATTTGAGAATTGTTTTATATAATTGTGAGGGCTTGGATTCTGAAATCTGTAGTGTAAGTCAGCAAAATGGAAACTCAGGCAGGAATTTTATGTTACAGTCTTGAAGCAGAGTTTATTTATTTTCCAGTAAATCTCAGCTTTTTCTCTCAAGGCCAACTTATTGGATGAGTTCCACCCATACTACAAAAGGACATCTACTTAAAGTATCTCTCTCTCTTTCCTTCTCCCTGTATGTATATATCTCTCTTGATTATGTGTAGGGAGAGAGAGAAAGAATAGAAAACAGAATCAATATGATGGAGATACACACACACACACACACACACACACACACACACACACACACACACACACATATATCCTGGATAACCCAAACTGATACAGATTTGATCCTGAGATGTTGGGGTGCTGCTGTAACAAATACCTAAAAAGGAACAAAAGGAGAAGTGGCTTTAGAATTGAATAATGATAGAGGCTGGAAGAATTTGAAGCATTTGATAGAAAATATTTAGATTGCGTTGAAGAGATTGTAGAAATATGGATGTTAAAACAATACCAGTGAGGGCTCAGAAAGAAGTGAGGAGAGATGTAGAGAAAATTTCTGTTGCCTTAGAGAATACATAGATCATTATGAACAGAATGTTTTTGGTGAGGGATATAGAAATAAGAAATATGTTATTGAAAATTGAAGGTGATCCATGTTTATAGTGGCAGACAACTTTTCTGAAATATATTACTCAAAGAAGATATGTTGTAATCTTAAATCCCCAATACCTGAACTTGTGATCTTACTTGGAAATAGGGTCATTGAAGATGTAATTACTTACATTAAGATTAAGTCATAATGGATAAAGCTGGCTGCCTAACCCAATATGACTGTGTCCTCCTAAGAAGATATCCATGTGAAAACAGAAAGCAACACACAAAGTCACAAACCCGAATGCAGATATTGGAGTCATGAAGCTGTAATCCAAGAAACACCAGATTGCAACAAACAGCCAGAAGCTAGGAAGAGGCATGGAAGATATCAGTACAGGTTTCATAGGAAGCAAGGTCCTGATGACACCTTAATCTCATGGTTTTAGTCTCCAGGACTGTGTGATAATACTTTCTGTTGTTTTAAATTACTCAGTTTGTTGTACATTGTTAATAACAGCCTCAGGAAACTAATACAATTTCAGTGCTATAGATTATTTGAAGCTACATACAAAATAACAAGTGAAAATAAAGTCATGAATTTCTGAGAGAGACATAAGTGTAAGAAAATTCACTTGAAAGGTGTTATATATTCTTTATCGTCAGCATGTAAAATAGAAACTCTCCTTAGTTAAGACAGTTTTAGACCTGACAGGATGATACCAGGTTCTAAATTCTTGCCATCACAAACCAAAGAAGCAATTTATAGAAAGTGGTTGTAAAAAGTGAATTATTAAAGCTGTCATTTTTGGGGGTAGGGGTACAGGTTTAGAGTCTAGGAAGAGACCAAGGGACATCAAGAAAGAAGTTAATGTAAGAGTGCTAATCATTTTGATATACATAAGGACCTATAAGACAGCGTGTTTAGATAATACATCTTTCAGCTCTAATATATTTTGTAGAGTAACCATAGAAAATGGCATACTTCAGGGCTCAGCTGTCCAATTCTTCAGTTTCATTTGTTATTGACAAATGTAACTTATTGATATTCAGCTGAAAGGATGAATGACTTGGACTATTCATAATGGCTTCAATTCCATGTGTGAAGCTTTGCCAAAGATGGTTGGGAGAAGGCTAGATCTGGCTAGATCCTTCTCCCTGTTCATGTAGTCTCAGAGTTTGTCAGTCTTGCCTTTCTACATGGGGATTTGAGATCCTTACACAGAACTGAAGGCTCCAATAAAGAACAATGCAGAAGCTGGCTTTTTTTTTTTTTTTTAATACTAGGCCAGAAACTCTCACAGCATTTCTTCTGTACTCTACTAGTAAGTAAGAAATAGGCCAGCACAGATGGAAGGAGAGGAGAATTAGACACATCTCAATTGGAGAATGTTAAAGAGTTTGTGGTCATTTTTAATCTGACATAATCTGCCATCTGGTCACAAATTCTTTTTCCATGTTTCACCCTCCTCCCATGACCTATAAAGTTTCGTATTAATATGTTATCTTCCCCTATTTCAGGAAATCACATCTAAATCAGGTCCAAGTATGGATGAGTCTCCTTCAGTGTGGTCCCATATGTATGATTTTTCTCAATATAAAAACTTGTGAACTGAAAAACAAGTTACACACCTCTTGTACACCCAATAAACAATAGTAAGGCATTCACAGGATAATTTAAATGGTTACTTCCCTTAACATAGCAGTGGCTCTGGGTGATGTTAGGCAAATTGTAATCATTGATTCACTGCGATGCTGAAATCCAGCTAAACATGTGTTGTCAATTCCTTGATTAGGGTTTATTCCTCCTCCCAGAGAAAGAATCTGTATAGATCTTGGCTGCAGTCTCTGAATTTTGTTTCTACTTTATGAGTCATCCTTTATATTTTCATAAGAAATAGCCTATGTTTCCAGGTAAGTATATTTGGGCTGCTTCTAATTGTAGTACATGCCGGGTTCAAAGGCTTCTTTTTATGTTATGCTAGCTCTGTAACTTTTAGTTCAAGATTATAGCATACCTTTTAAAAGACTATGGGCTTCTTGTATTGTTGTACTTCACTTCATTAGTCAAAAGCCACACCTGCGATTCTTTCTGAAACAGTACTTCTCATATACATTGAGCTGAAATATAGGGTGTTCTGGAAAAATACCCTTAATATCTTAAAACAATTTTGTCTTGTTTCTGTAACACTGTTAGAAGTCCTTTTATCTAGAAGAGAGATTCTAAGAGTCATGCCTTAATGCTCTTAAGGCAAGAGTCAAGAAAATGTTTCTATATCCCAAACTCCTGGGGAATTGACAAGAATACTTTCACGCTTGCCTCCAGAAGCAGCATGAAGTGTACCTATCATTTTCTGCAGTGCAGCAGGGATGTAGCTGAGAGCAAGATGACAGTTTTCTTTCTTGGTAAGCACCTTTTAATATTTCCAAAAGATTCTATACATGTCTTTCATGTGACTTTGGAGAAGTAGGTAGTACCTCATTGAGAATAGAAGATATTGACACATTATTCTCAATTCCACAATTTCCTTAACAATATTCTTTCATACAAATTTCTAGGCTGCTTATATGCAATTAGAGATGAGTAATGGGTATATATAGTCAAACATCTGTGTGGCCTATCCCATAATAAGGAATCCAAGGATGCTACTAGCATCAATATTAGAACCCTCAGGGTATTTTTTTTATTTTATTTTTTGTGCTTGGCTTTGAGGCTTTATGTTACCTGACTTTCTGGGACCACTGAAAATGCCACCTTCAACACTCTCTTACATACTTTAATATCTCCTTTTCTTTCATCAAATATTATATTATAAGGTGACTACTTTGGTAAACAAATATAGTTTGTGATATGCTTAATTATCTTCTTCCAACTATAAAGGTAATCTATAATTTGTTAAGTAATGTTATGTATCATGAATTGTTGTAGGTGCTTGCATATGTATAAACACAACAACATATTTTCAAAAGTCTTATTAATATGTAATGATATTTCTACTTTATGAATAACAAAGCTGTTGATTTGGAGATATTAAATTATTACTAAGGTCATGTAACTCCTAATTATCAAAGCTAAACATTTTTCTCTTTACCATATTTGTTCATGCAATTTTAAATTTAAAGGATTTGCTTTAAATCATGGAGAATTTCTGTGTTGAAACATGGTTTTATACTCAGGTCTTCTCTTTTTTAAGCAAAATCCTCTGCACCACACCATATGAATTTGTATTTTTTTTTCATATTCAGCTGTGTGAATAGCAATGTAACTAGAATTAGTTTCAGGGTATAGCAATGCCAGAGATAGTAGCCAACTGTGCAAAAAATGATAGATAATGACAGAAAACGGATGGCAATTTGCAGGATACTGGTTAAAAGATATTGGTTCTCTTCTTTTGCTGAATATGAGCTCAATTTTAGGATGTGCAGAAAGAGAGAAGTGAAGTTTATTAAGATCTCACCAAAACACAGATCTTGTGTTAAGTGTTCCTCTATGTACTAAAGAAAAATATTCATTATTGTTTTTGTAGGGAATATATATTTCTTTAACATGAAGGAATAGATACTTTTTTATACATGAATTAAATTATTTCTATGAAGATTCTATGTGCCCATTTTCTTGATAGGCCATATAAAGAAATGTATATTATGTGTTTTACATTAAAATAGCAGAAAACATGTTGAAAATTAAAAATATGTTTAATTGCATCTTTCAATAAAAGTCTGATGGAAGAAGATAAAGTCAACAGTTTTATTTTTGTATATTTCATGATATATTTTATATATATATCATGTATCTGATGTGATCTCTTTTGTATGTCACTGGTGTAGAACAAAGCATCAGAAATACTCTAATAATAGTACATTAGCTCATCAGAGGACTATAAGTGAAGATATAGTTGAAATGGAAGAAAACATATTTAATGAAATATATCAGAGCAGCCAATAGGTGAAAAAAAGAAAAGAAAGCCAAAATGCATTCCATTACTAAAATGTCTGTCATAGAGAGTTTTAAAAGCTAAGAGTGCCAACTTAGCAGTGTCTGCCACTACAACAGGCAGCCCAAGCACTGTGTTTTGAATACAAATATTTTGTCCACAAAGAGTCTACCTGGTTGGGCACTTGAACTCTACAATTATTGTATACAGTGATAGAGCCCTATCAGAGGTATTTCTAAGACATGATTACAGCAATTTATTCTATTTAAAATATAAACAGAATATTTTACTGTGTTTTTTCAAATCAGAGTAAAGAAAGATTTCTTATCTTTAATGCTACAGATTATAAACTCTCTAGATATTTAAGCTTGCAACCTATGCTCCAAAGCACTGACAAAAAATAGATCTTTATCACGGAGATATCAGGGAGGGAAAGAGTTACTCGAACAAAAGAGAAAAGATATGAAGATATTATAGGACAAAAATGTGACCTAAATTTTAGCCAGGAAATAGAGGGTATGGGAGACGGTTGGAAATAAGAAAACCTAAACTACAACAAAGTAGTCACAAGGAAACCTGGGTGTGCTTACATTTCTGTTTTATGTATTTCATTAAAAATATACCTTTAGACCACTCAAAAGGACTAACTAGCTCACACTCCTGAAAAAATAATAAGGGAAGATCTACAGGTAAAACATATAGTTATATTCTTTCTGACATGCCAATCATCTTAAAAAGCTCTAATTGGATGTATTTTCAAGATTCATGATGTGCGATTTCCAAAATTTCTTCTTATTTTCATGTGGAAATTTGAAATATCATTAAAATATATTTATATGTAAAATATAATTTTTTTTAGAATTTGAGAAAAATATCTTGAAAAAAGAATGTCCCAAAGAAGCAAAATTTGCCAACAATTTATTCTAAAATTTAATTATTTAAGTCTTCATATGTGGCATTTACACTAATACACCACTGAATGAAGTTGAACAACTAAAATGAGGCTTACCACTCAATATCTGTCTTCCAAAACAAGCCCAAAATTGTATCAACCAGCACTCTTTATTTTGCCCTGTGGGTGTTGGGTCTCAGTGAAATAATATAAGAAAATGTCAATATTCTGGCTTCTGTTATTTATGTGATTAATAAAGTTCTTCGTTTCTAACCTTGGAGTCTTACAGAGAAATGTCCATGAAATTATGGCAGAGTAATTGTGACTTTGCAAAAAGGGACACTTGGATACTTCACAGTTTTAAATATCTACCAGATTTTAGTTATTCGTGTGTGTTTTTATCTAGTTTAATAGATATATTTTCTCTGAGGGCAAAACAATTTTTTCAACTATTTTTATTATTCGCGGGAGAAAAGCAGAGTATATTCCTTATATTCTTTTTTTTAATTCTCATGTTCTTGGTAAAAGAAATTTGAAGACAGAAGTCATTAGCATAAGGTTTCATTTTAAAAACTGCAACTTGAAAATAGCTCAAGATGTCTACTTCATAAAAGATGAAGAAATTAGAGATTTTATAGGATAGAATTTGAAAGGTAAAATTAGATTTTATTTTGGAAATTGTTTATGGATCTTTGATGGTGTTGGGAAACTGAGGTTATGTTCATTGCAAGAGAGTTTTTAAGTACAGCAAACTGGGTCCCTGGTTCAAGCAGCTGTTGATCTGTTGATCGGTCAGTTTAGATTAAGCAAAAGGAATTGAGGGAAATAATTTTGGCCAAAGCCTTGCTAAAGTCAGTGTAATATTTGTAGTCCCTTACCATCTTTAATATTATCTCATTAGTAATCCTTTCCTAATTTAAATTCCAAAGTAGTGGAAGTTCATGTGTCTGTAATTTTTGATAAATGTATAAATGGAAAAAAAGACAATGAAAATTTTGGGTAGTATTGAGATGAGGTAATGTCTCTCAGAAAATAATGTTTTTCAAAACAGTTATCATTCAAGCAAAGGGAAAATGTCTGTTTGTCCCCAAAAAATAGCAATAATGGTGGGAAATGTAAAGAGTAGTGGGTAGCAATATTCGTGTTTCCAACTGGCCAAATATTCTTAGTAAAGCAATGCAAGAATATCTATGTAATGGTGGTGAAGAGAAGATGACATAATAAAGATTTTAATTACTATATTTTAAACAAACTGGACCTGGGAATTATTTAATTGATTAAAAACAAATTACCAACATTTGTGATAATTTATTAAACCTTTATTTGGAAACCTGTGTAGTGTTATAGACATTTAATGATGGTGTCTTGTAGCAACAATAATTTATAACGAAGTGAAAGTATATGTTACATAACCTAGAATTATATTCTGACAAGTGAGTAAATTGGAAAATATTCTATATTTATCTTTACATTTATTCTAAAATTATTTACTAATTGTTTACTCTTGTGTTAAGCACAGTCTTAGGTAACTGAGAAATAATCATGCTGTCCAGAGTAGGTAAAAAGCCATTTATATAACTTTTTAATTAAACGTTATAATGTAAGAAACATTTGTATTAAGTTTTGTTTTCTTGTTTACAAATTAATCAAGTATTCATCTCTCTAAGTCATGTAAGAAACTCAAGATAAAATAAGCCATTTTAATGGAATGGTTATGTGCATAAGCTGGGTAGAAAAAGATGATCACATGTATGTATAGGTCTCAAGCAAATAGTATTAAAATGATTGGCACACAAGTATTTCGTGTATTTAACAGATAATGTCTTAACTATTTTGAGTTCTCTAAACATGTTCTTGGACATCAAAAAGGATCCCAATAAAAACTAGTTATATGGTAGCATATTAAGCAATTTAATATTAATTTTATTATTTTAAACAGTAATTTTGGTTACATTTATTTATATAAAAATAGAGTATAACGCAAATGAGGCTTAACCAATAATTTCAAGTGCTTTCATTCCTTTATAAATATGTGACTTGGCACCCTAAAAGTTTTTCTTTGACCTGTTAACTGTTAATTATTATAAAAGTTATTGCTGTATTTAAGTTAGATTTCTTCCCTGGTTTCATGCTCATTTGTTAATAAAGACACATTAAACTTAAATGTGGTTATTTTTGAAAATCTTTAAATCAATGGTAGGAGTTATAGAAGACATAGTTTCTCCACTAAAGTATAGCTGTTTAATAATTACATATTTTCTGCAATCAGAAAGAGATTAAGTTAAAGGTTTTTTTTAGCTATAATTCCATAAATTATTTTGTCACTAAATAAATTGTACATGAATCTATGAATTGGTTTATTTGTGCTTATGGGGACTTTTCTTTCAAAAAGTTTATTTTAATCTCATAACAAATTTCTCTTTCTTCCTTTTCCTCCTTCTCCTGCATTTCCCTTTCTCTCTGTCTTATAGGCAGAATGAATAATGCCCACCCCCTTCCAAGCTGTTCATATTCTTATATCCATGCACCTGGGGCTATGGTAGCTTACCTAGCAAAAAGTACCTCGCAGCTATGATTAAGTATTCTGAGGAAATTGTTCTCCATTAAACCTAATAAAATTACATGAAAGTGAGAGTCTATTTCTTACCATAGGATTATGAGAAACTCCTGAAGAGATCTGAGAGAAAGAGACAGAGACAGAGAGATGATGAAACAAACAAACAAGAAAAAACAAAAACCAGAAAGATGCAACATTTCTGGCTTTGAAAATGGAGAAAGATAACAGGTAGCATGATGCAACCAGCTTTGATGTTTTTGCTTAGGTTTGTCTTGGCTATACGGGCTCTTTTTTGGTTCCATATGAAATTTAGAGTAGTTTTTTTCTAATTCTACAAAGAAAGTCACTGGTAGGTTGATGAGAATAGCATTGAATCTATAAATTACTTCAGGCAGTATGGCCATTTTCATGATATTGATTCTTCCTATCCATGAGTATGGAATGTTTTTCCATATGTTTGGGTCCTCTCTTATTTCTTTGAGCAGTCGTTTGTAGTTCTCCTTGAAGAGGTCCTTCAGATCCCTTGTAAGCTGTATTCCTAGGCATTTTATTTTCTTTGTAGCAATTGTGAATGGAAGTTCACTCATGATTTGGCTCTCTGCTTGTCTATTATTGGTGTATAGGAATGAATGTAATTTTTGCACATTGATTTTGTATCCTGAGACTTTGCGAAGTTGTTATCAGCTTAAGGAGTTTTGGGGCTTGAGAAAATGGGATTTTCTAAATATAAAATCATGTCATCTGCAAACAGAGACAATTTGACATCCTCTCTTCCTATATGAATATCCTTAATTTCTTTCACTTACCTGATTGCCCTGGCCAGAACTTCCAATACTATGTTAAATAGGAGTGGTGAGAGAGGGCCAAAACAACATGATACTGGTAAAGAAAACAGATATATAGACCAATGGAACAGAACAGAGGGCTCAGAAATAACACCATAAATCTACAACCATCTGATTTTCAACAAACCTGACAAAAACAAGCAATGGAGAAAGGATTCCCTATTTAATAAATTGTGCTGGGAAAACTGGCTAGCCATATGCAGAAAACAGAAACTGGACCACTTCTTCATACCCTATATGAAAATTAACTCAAGATGGATCAAAGACTTAAACGTAAAACCTAAAACCATAAAAACCCTAGAAGAAAACCCAGGCAATATCATTCAAGACATAAGCATGGGCAAATACTTCATTACTAAAATGACCAAAAGCAGTGGTAACAAAAGCCAAAATTGACAAATGGGGTCTAATTAAACTAAAGAGTTTCTCCTCAACAAAAGAAACTATCATCGGAGTGAACAGGCAACCTTCAGAATGGGAGAAAATTTTTGCAACCTATCCATCTGACAAAGGTCTAATATCCAGAATCTACAAGGAACCTAAACCAATTTACAAGAAAGAAACAAACAACCCCATCAAAAAGTGGATGAAGATATGAACAGAATCTTCTCAAAAGAAGACATTTATGTGCCCAACAAACACATGAAAAAAAGCTCATCATCACTGCTGACACCAGTTAGAACGGTGATCATTAAAAAGTCTGGAAACAACAGATGCTGGAGAGGATGTGGAGAAATAGGAACGCTTTTACACTGTTAGTGGGAGTGTAAATTAGGTCAACCATTGTGGGAAACAGTGTGATGATTCCTCAAGGATCTATAGCCATTTGACCCAGCAATCCCATTACTGGGTATATACCCAAAGGATTATAAATCATTCTACTGTAAAGACACATGCACATGTATGTTTATTGCAGAACTATTTACAATAGCAGAGACTTGGAACCAATCCAAATGCCCATCAATGATAGAATGGATTAAGAAAATATGGCACATATACACCATGGAATACTATGCAGCCATAAAAAATAATGAGTTCATGTCCTTTGCAGGCACATGGATGAAGCTGGAAACCATCATTCTCAGCAACATAACACAGGAATGGAAAACCAAACACTGCATTTTCTCACTAGTAAGTGGAGTTGAACAATGAGAACACATGGACACAGGGAGGGAAACATCACCCACCAGGGTGTGTTGGAGGGTTTGGGGAAAGGGGAGGGAGAGCATTAGGACAAATACCTAATGCATGTGGGGCTTAAAACCTAGATGACAGGTTAATAGGTGCAGCAAACCACCATGGCACATGTATACCTATATGACAACCCTGCACGTTCAGCATATGTATCCCAGAACTTAAAGTAAAATTTAAAAAAAAAATTAAAAATGGAGAAATATGGCCACAAGCCAAGAAATGTAGTTTATCTCTAGAAGCTCCAAAGAAAAACTAAACAAAACAAAAACTATCTTGATGAATAAGAGCTAATATTAGAAATAAATCCCATTGAGATAAAAGTGACATTGAGAAATGATTTAATCTGTTACCTTAAGACAATTCAACACTATAACTTGGTATGAGGTAATTAGTTACAATCTATTGTAGGACTCTTTAGATATTACAGAGAAATGCATCCAATTAAATTGATTTCTTGGCATATTCTGACTCCATTTAATTTCCCCATTGCTTCTCATTTCCCATTTCATTTTTTATAATTAATTTGAGATTTTATTAATATAATAATCTATCATTTAAACATTTTGTGTGATGTATATTCTGAAATTTGTAAAGGTTTATTAATTTAAAATACTCAATGAAATATTTAGGTGCAGAAATTCTAGGATTCTAGAGATTATGCACAAGCATACCTGTAAAATATTATAACAAATAGCCCTTGATGGTCTTTTATATGTCGATGTAGTTAATTTTGCAAATTTAATTTTGAAATAGAAACAAGGGTTTATAAATTTAAAATATTACTTGTGACTCCACACAGCATTTTTGATAAATTAATATTATCTTTCATGTGAGTTCCCCTTCACTCTTCTTACCCTCTTGTGATCAGAAGTGGTAATTTGCCTGACACTAGATACATGGTGGTGTATTTTCCAGTATTCATTCTGTAATTCTTCAAAACCGTATGGGTGTCCCACAATTCAATTCAATTCTGACACTAGCTGTACAGAGTTAGCACTCCCCCATAGGCTTAGGGATCAGCCCCACAAGAAACCTACTCCTACTTCAACAGCCTCAATAGTGTCACCAGGTGATATGGTTTGGGTGTGTCCCCACCCAAATCTCATCTTGAACTGTAGTTCCCATAATTCTCGTGGGAGGGACCTGGTAGGAGGTAATTGAATAATGGGGGCAGTTACCTCCGTGTTGTTCTCGTGATAGTGAGTGAGTTCTCATAAGATCTGATGGATTTTTAAGGGGCTCCCTCCACCACTTATCTCTGCACTTCTTGCTGCTGCCATGTGAAGAAGGACATGTTTGTTTCTCCTTATGCCATGATTGTAAGTTTCCTGGGGCCTCCCAAGCCTTGCGGAACTGTGAGTCAATTAAACCTCTTTCCTTTTTAAATTACCCAGAATTGGGTATGTCTTTATTAGCAGCATGAGAGCTGACTAATACACCAGGCTACCTGCATTTCTATCTGTCTTGGTTACAAATTTGGGGGTTCCCACAACTCCCTCCTCAGGTTTAATAATTTTCTAGAATGACTAACAGAACTCAGGAAAGTGTTTTACTTACTGTGACTGTTTGTTTGTTTGTTTTTATTAAAGAATATCACCTAAAAGCAGCCAAATGGAAGAGAGGAATAGGCTAAGTTATGGAGTCAGGAGTGTGGAGCTTCCATGCCCCCTCTGGGCACACCAGCTAAATCTATCACACACAGCAGCTGTGTGTGGTTTCTGTGTGGTGGGTGGGGGGCGTGTGTGGTGTGGCAGGTGTATGTGTGGTGTATGTGTGGTGTGTGTGATGTGTGGTGTGTGTGAGGTGTGGGGTGTGTGGTGTGGAGGTTGTGTGCATAGTGGATATATTTGTACCTCAATGTGTTCATCACCCTGGAAGCTTGCAGAACCCCATCATTTAGGGATTTTTATGGAGGTTTCCTTATGTAGATATGACTGATTAAATTATGGGCCACTGGTGATTGAAAATCTCCAGCTCCTCCGTATTCCCTGAAGGTTGGAAGGGGGATGGAGCTGAAAGTTCCAACCGGTTAATCATGTTTTAATCTTTCTGGTAACCACCCCCCACCCTGAAGCTAACTAGAAGCCCTCGTCCACCAATCATTTAATTACGATGAAAAAAAAAGTCTCTAATTCATCTTGGGTTGATTTTTGTATATAGTGAGATATAGGGATCCAGTTTTATTCTACATGTGCCTATCCAGTTTTCCCAGCACCACTTATCAAATAGGATGTCATTTTCCCAATTTATATTTTTTGTATGCCTTGTCAAAGATTGGTGGGTTATAAGTACTTGGCTTTATTTCTGGGTACTCTACTTTGTTCTATTGGTCTGTGTATCTACTTTTTTACCACTACCACGTTGTTTTGGTTACTATAGTCTTGTAGTATAATTTGAAGTCAGGTAATGCAATACTTCCATACTTGTTCCTTTTACTTAAGATTGCTTTGGATATTCAAGCTTTTTAAAATATATGAATTTTAGGATTGCTTTTTCTATGAAAAATGATGTTAGCATTTTGATAGGAATTGAATTCAACCTGTAGAATGCTTTGGACAGGGTGGTCATTTTTACTATACTAATTCTTCTGATCCAGGAGTGTGTGATTTATTTTCATTTTTTTTTTGTTCATCTATCACTTCTTTCAACAGTGTTTTGTAGTTCTTCTTGTAGAAATCTTTCACTTCCTAGGTTCAGAATATTCCTAGTTTGAATTGCGTTATTGATCTGATTCTTAGCTTGGTTGGTGTTGATGTATAGCAGCACTATGGATTTGTGTGCATTGATTTTGTAACCTGAGACTTTACTGAATTGATTTATCATATGTAGAAGTCCTTTGGGGGAGTCTTTAGGGTTTCTAGGAATACAATGATATCATTGGCACACAGGTAGTTTGATTCCACCTTTTCAGTTTGGATGCCTTTTATTTTTTTCTCTTGTCTGATTGCGCTAATTAGGATTTCCAGTACTATGTTGAATAGAAGTGATGAAAGTGGGCATCATTGTCTTGTTTCAGAATTTCTAAAAAAAAACCTAGAAAAAACACTCTCGACATTGGCCTAGGCAAAGAATTTATGACTAAGACTCCAAAAGCAAATGCAACAAAAACAAAAATACATAAATGAAACCTAATTAAATTTAAAGGCTTCTGCACAGCAAAAGAAATAATCATCAGAGTAAAAAGACAAACCACAGAATGGGAGAAATTATTTGCAAATTAAGCATCCCAAAAAGAACTTATACCCAGAATCTCTACAAGGAACTCAAATCAGTAAGAAAAAAAATAATCGCATCAAAAAGTGGGCAAATAACATGAATAGACGTGTAAAGTTGTATACATAGAAACAGGGAAAAATATACAGTGGTTACCAGGGATGGGGAAAATAGACAGAAATTGCTCAAAGTGTACAAAGTTGCAGTTAGGTAGGATAAATAAGTCTAAAGACATTAACATACAGCAAAAAACTAGAGTTAAGAATATTGTATTGTATGCTGGAAATTTGCTGACAGTAGATTTTAGGTGTTCTTACCAGAAAAATAAAAAAAGTAACAATGTAAGGAAAAAAAGTTAATAAAATAGAAAAGACACTTACTATTCAAGAGATTCTATAGGTTTTCAGAACTCTGTACCAGGAAACAAGGAAAATTGTGTGTGTGTGTGTGTGTGTGTGTGTGTGTGTCTGTGATTAAATTTAAATAAGAAAAAGGATTATGAGTTACATCTCTGTTGTGATTTCTCAGCTCTATGTACAACTTTCCATAGAGACCTCAAGCGTTTTCGATTTCATAATAGAAGAATGCTGATCAGAACCAATTCATGGGAATGAGAGTAAATTTCTTGCCATAGGAGTATAAATGCATTTTTGCATAATTAGTATTGGAGTCATACATATCCAGTAAAGAAAAATCTACCAACCTATCAAGATTAGTACAGTTTGATGGCCTCAATAAACCTATTACAAAATAATCCAGTATTCTCTTAAAATACAAGTTATTTAGTATTATTTCTGTTTAAATAATTAACTTAGAAATAGAATTTGCTCTGCTTTTTTTCAGTAAGTGGAGTGTAGGGCTTTGTAATGAGTTTTTTTGTGTGTGTATATTTGTATTGAGGAGAAGACCATGTGTCTATTGAATTAAAATGGCTTAAACATCTTTTACTCATGGTCAGTGTATGTGATTTTATGAAATTTTCTAAATGCTGCAGGCGTGTGGACAAATGAAATATAATCCCTGACCTTAAAGGGCCAATCATTTAACAAAAATTGTTTTCTTGTTTATTGATGAACTCTCTTCATTAGTTGATGAAAGCTGATATTTTTCTTCTGAAAATTCACCGTGGCCCCAGAAAGTCAGAATGGCTGATTGCTTTCTCTATCTCTATTGTCTCCACCAACCCTCTAACAAATTGCAATGCCTCTCTTTTCTCTCTTTGACTTGCATTTTGCCCATGGTAGTAAGAAAAATCATAAATGTTTCAAACATGTTATTTGTCTTTTCTTTGTTGCTGTATTTTTTTGTATAGTCAACAATGTAAGAGCAACAATTGGATAAGTGAATCTTTCGTATGAACTTCATACCTGTAATCCCAGCATTTTGGGAAACCGAGGTGGGTGGATCTCCTGAGATCAGGAGTTCAAGACCAGCCTGGCCAACGTGGTGAAACCCCGTCTCTACTAAAAATACAAAAATTAGCTATGATATGGTGGCAGGCACCTGTAGTCCCAGCTACTCAGGAGGCTGAGGCAGAAGAATCATTTGAACTCAGGTGGCGGAGGTTGCGGTGAGCCAAGATTGCGCCGCTGCACTCCAGCCTGGGCGACAGAGGGAGACTTGGTCTCAAAAATAAAAAAGAAACTCTGAGATGGTCCAGCAATCTGTGCTTTAATAGGCTTTTCAGGTGATTTGGATGCATATTTCCTTCTTTCTCAAGATCTTTTCTGTTTCTCTCTCGATTTATAAATCAAAAATAGGTTAGCCTTTTTCCAGCTTTTTTAGCTTAGTCAGCAATAGGCTAATGTCTTCTTATGCTAAGTGAAATTACATATTTCCTCATAAATGACATAAATTTTAAAAAAATGCTTGCTGGACATTACCTTTCTTGTTTATTCATCCAAGTTTCTAGGTGAGAAAAGCAATTATACAGATATCAATACATTTTAAAAATTACACATGTGCTTTGTAGTTAAACAAGTTTTAAAACTTAGAAGCTGACTGAATGGTGAAATTTTGTCAGTTTCCTATGTTAATGATATTATCAGAAATTACTATCCATGATAGGATTATTAGCATGTCAATTATGCTTTGTATTTTCTAATATCGATTTATACAATTCAATGTCTTGCTGTTTAAAGATAAGTTATAATAATTTTTGTATACATTTATTTTTAGTCTACATTCTAGAAATTAGCTACATAAAGTAGATGTTACTGTACAGGTGAAATAATTCACCAAATTAAATATTGCTCAGTTGTAAGCTTAGCAGTATAAAGGTATGATTTGTTACCCTTTGTAATATTTTAGAAAGTTAAATTATAAAGAAACTAAAGCTTTGTTTAAAATATTTCTTATGCTATGATAAAAAAGGTTGAATGTTTTCTTTCTATCATGAATTTTCCCAAAAGAAAATATTTTTAAGGAGGAAAAAGTAAATAAATAAATATTTGTCTTCTGGATCTCTAAATGATAGATTTGAAGAAATTTATTAATTGTAAAGTTTATATCTGTTGTTTTTAATCTTCTAGTTACTTGTAAATCATTAAACTATTTGGTGCCTCTTTTTGTCCCTCATTGTCTTTTCTGCTTAATCTCTGTTACCATAAAAGGGCAAAATACGACTGCAGAGAGAAATTATACTTACTGCAAAAATACTGCTGAGATGCAGCCTTAACTTAGGGATCTTTGTAGAAACAACTGTTCTGTAGTTTTGTTTGAATGACTGTTTAACTTCCATTCATATTACATTAACATAATAGTCTAATTAAACATAATGATACCTTCTTCTGCGCCTACTGTGGGTTTTCATTCTGCTACTGTAGCTACTTCCATTCAAGGACCTAAAAGTGAATTATCACTGCTGATCTTCAACTGGCTGTGGCCAATGAGATTCATTTATCAAGTGATAAATGTGCCCTTGACCAACACACATAGTTTGCTGATACAGTTACTCACTCAAATCTAACAGAGATGAGAAATGTTTGCCATCAGAGTAACATAAATATGCAGGATTATTTCCTTTGTGAAGACTACATATAGCTTGTGGAGTTTTGACATTTATAAGAAATAAAACTAGGAACTTTTGAGGGTTTTAAAATCACTTTTACAAAAATTGCTTGCTGTTTTCAAGCCCTTCAGAGTTTGAAATGATCAGATCATGCAGGGAATTGATGCTTTAAACGAATGAAAGACAACTGAACTACCAAGAATGAGGGATAATGAATTTGATTAAATAGTAAAGGTGGGAGATTCTTGATAAATTGTCTTAGCAAGATTCTCTGCTAAAACTGAGCTCTGTAGACCCAGGTTTCCAGGACAATGCTGAGGCCTAATTAAAAAGAAAGTTCTCAAGACCTTGACTAAAGTTTGGTCAAGGAGAGAGTCCTTGTCAATATACATTGTGTGTGTGTGTGTGTGTGTGTGTGTGTGTGTGTGTGTGTGTGTGTTAAAGTCTCCCTGTTGAAGCCAATATTAGTACAACAATAATGGCTCTGAGGTTTCAAAAGCATTATCAAATAAAATAAAAAGAAAAAATGAATGAGAGAAGGTGAGACGGAGGGGGGGAGAAAGAGGATGGGAGAAAGAAGAAAATTATGTTTATTTTCTGAAATGTGTTACTGTGAAAAGCATTGCTGTGAAAATTCTTGGAAATGTATCATAGAGTACATATGACAAAATTTTTCTTTGTTATATACTGGGGGATAGAACTGCTGAGTTGTAGAGTACACAGTATTGACAACCTTCAGAAATAGAATCCACTTAAAATCCCACCAGTAATGTAGCATCCTGCCTTCATCAAGAATCTTGTTAAGCCAGTTTAGCAAGAGTCTTGGTATCTAATCAAGTTCCTGTTAACAATTTTTCTATCCACTGACCCTCTAGCTCTACTCTTTAGCTACACATTTTCAACTGTCCTTGATGCCTTTAGAGTTGAGTAACATCCTTCACTCCTCTGCAATAGTTGTGAGTCCTGCTGCAATAGTCTTGAATAAAGTCTTCTTTGCTGTTTATAACAAGAATCCAATGCCATATGTATGTTTTCTTTTTAGCACACAGATTGTTTATTTGGACACCAAAAATAATTGTTAAATTTTAAGGCCCCTATTTGTGTAAATTAATATCAGTATTTTGTTTTGGTTTGGTTTTATTAATCTTATTGTTATTAACACTTTGACTATCATATATTTGAAAACTTCTATGTATTTGTTTCCTTCAAGTTCTCTATATTAAATTTTCTAAAGGTAAGAAATACTAATAAGTGGTCTAATTTTACCTTGTAATTCCCTTTTTCTCTCTTTTCTCTCTGTCTCTCCACATAGATATATGGTGTGTCTGTGTATATTTTTACTTAATAAATGATGACATTTGGATTTTCTATTTGTATATTACTCATTGAATTATTTATGGACAAGATGCCTGCTTTTGCATTGAGTCAGTGTTGCACAACTTTTATGTTTCACACTTGTTATGGCTTGAATGTATACTGTTCATATTTTCATATGATCAAAAAAATAAAAAATCAGAACTACATACAAAATTTTATCAAAAGTAAATTGTAATATTTTGTTAATGCCTGCATATTTTCTATAAATTAAACATTTGATATGTTTGAATTTTCTCCTCTGGATAATGGTTAATATTTTACACAGACTAAATTTCAACCCAAAATTCATATATTCATTGTTGATATATAATGTATATGTCCCTTTATTAGTTACTTGAAAAGAAATTTGTTCTTAAAGTGAAACAAAATAACTGCTGATGTTGACTGCTATATTCCATACATAGAGAATTTAAATGATGCGATTCTGAACAATGTCATTGTGTTATAATATGGATTTACTCTGCTATTACAAAGAACATTAATGACACACATCTGATAGGTAATTTCTGCGAAGTAATTTATGTTACTTGTTGTTTATTTTATGTGGAAAACTCACAGTATCACTTTTCCTTTAACTACATTTGCTATTTTATTAAAAGCTTCAACAAGCTCATCCTGAAAACGCTGGGTGCAAGATATTTTAACTTTCTGAAAATGCTGAAAGAGTAATTTGGCAAAAGAATGTCAAAATATAAAAACAATCTTCGGCAACCCGCTCAGGTCCCCTTCCACACTGTGGAAGCTTTGTTCTTTCCCTCTTCACGATGTCTTGCTGCTGCTCAAAAAAAAAATGAAAATAATAAAAAATAAATAAATCTTAAGCATTTGAGCTAAATCCAGAGATGGAAAACATATTCTGTAGCTATGGTTTTATTTTTGACTACATGTGGAGCTCAGAATGAAGATGTATATTGAACAAACTACTAGAGGACACACTAAAATTCCTCCTGGTTGTTGTTATAGTATAATGAATGCCCGCAGCTCAGAACACATTATAATGTTCCTCTGAAATATTTCCTGTCATGAAATATATTTTAGAATCATGTTATCTTAGGTCATTTAGGCTGTTATGACAAAACACCACAAACAGAGTGTCTGATAAACAACAGAAATTTATTTTTCACAGTCCTGGAGCTTAAGTCTACAATCAAGGCACCAGCAGATTTTGTGTCTGGTGAGAGCTCATACTTCATACATAGATGGTGTTTTCTTGTTGTGTCCTCACACAGCAGAAACAGGAATCAAGCAGCTCTGGGTCTCTTCTATAAAGGTATTTATTTCCATCATAAGGGCTCCACTCTCATAACCTAATAACCTCCTGCATGCCCTACCTCAATACTATTGCATTGGGAATTCAGTTCCGACATAGGAATTTTGGAGAGACACAAACATTCAGACAATAGCAGATACCTATTTGCAATTTTTATGTCATATTCTACTTCTTTACCTTTAGTGAAAAGTGGCAAGATTGTTTTAGGATATAAATATATAGAAAGTGAAATGAACAATTATAATCATTTTTCATTCAATAGGTAAATAATGTGTACATACAGACATAGAGTGTGGAATCATAGGCGTTGGAGACTTGGAAGGGTGGAGTGGGTAAGAGGAGGTGGCTGATGAGAAATTACTTACTGGATACAATGTACATTAATCGGCTGATGGATACAATAAAAGCCTAGACTTCACCACTACACAATATAGTCACCTAAGAAAACTGTATTACTACCTCTTAAATTTACTCAAATTTTTAAAAAGAAAAACAAAATAAAAAATAAAAACATATAGAGGTGGCTGAACAATTAAGGCAGATTCTCTGAAGATTTTTATGAGCAACTCCCATAATTCAATAGAAGTTCAAAACGGAAGAGCACAAATAACCAATTGACTACTAGAAATGGCCCCTAAGAGTACGTCGACATGAAAACATTTTTTTGCAATGTTGCATGGGGAGAAATACTATGCTAGATGGGAGCAATAAAACAATGTAATAATTTCAAGTCATTCATGGTTTTTGAAGGACAGTCCAAGTAGATGTCTAGTGCAAGGTTCTCAACTTTGCTGCCAGACCTTGGATAACATTTTCCACACATTTCGATAATTAATATATTTATATATGAAATGAATATAAGAATGATTCAGGTAGGATAGTTGTGATTATTCGAGAGAATGAATGAGAACATACTCTATATCATGAAATTGCATCACTAAGTAAAATTATTATTGTTATCATTAGTTCTGCTTCTACTGCTAATGAGGAGTGGGAAATTAGAAATATGATTTTTTCTGAAATTAACGTACAGGCAAGATAAATGATGATGTAGTATTAATACTGCTAATAATCTACACCAACTATTGATAGATTGTTTTAATGAATTATGGCCTATTGGTCATGGAAAATATGTTGCTAACCTTCATGTTTTCACTTTAAAGTGATAACAGAAGCTTTCTCTGTAAGTAAAAAGTAAATATTAAGAGTCTAATTTTCAAAATGCTTTCCTTTATTGATTTTATTTTAACAAGACATTAAATGCACTGATGCCATACCATGGTTATGACTAAAATCTGAAATAACGGTTTTTGTCTAGTCTGAATTAACACTACAAGATTCTTTAATTTTTGTAAACATTAGAAGATAAGAAGGCATACCCACCATAACTTGAATATGTTATGAATTATGTTCTGTATAACCAAGTATTAAATAATAACAATAAAAAGCAATAATTAAACACTTACATGTGTTTTGGAAGAAAGTTTTTCCATGACTATATTGTAAAGTGAATCTGGAGGGACAATTTCTCCTGTCTTGCTATAGCAAAATAAATAAATAAATAAATAAATTTCTGTGTCATAATTCTTATACATATTAGCCAATTTGTGCATAAATATGAATCTTTTTTCATTTTTTAACAACCTAAAAGTTATTAAAATGGCAAGTAGATTACAAATGATTTTATGTTTTTTCTTTAAGTTCCTAAATCACATGTAACTTTATTTTTTCTGAATTATTTAAGAGTAACTTACTGACATGATGCCCAATCATGCAAGTGAAAGTCGTTGTGTATGTTTCTTATTAACAATCATGTTCCATAAAACCAAAGTAAAACATAAAGATCGAGATTTTATATTTATGTATTATCACCATCTACTCCAAAGACACATTTAAATTTCTTGAATTATTCCAGTATTAATAATATTCATTGAAAGATAAGGATATAGTTTAAAATGAAACATATGCATTTATTTATGTCATTTTAGTTTTATTTGACCTGGAAAAGGACTTTAGTCTTTCATTGCTTTTGATGATCTTGATACATGGTAATATTATTTTTGTAATTTATTTGGTCAATTTTATTAAGGTATACCTCACAAATAAAAATTGTATATAATTGACAAAGTTTTTTAAAAGTATGCAGCCTGATGTCTTAATATTCACATACGTTGTGAGTAAATAACACAATTGAGATAAATAACATATGCATTAACTCACATTGTTACTTTTTTGTGGTGAAAATATTTAACATCTACTTAGAAAATTTCAAGCATGCAATATATTGTTATTAACTATAGTTACCATTATGCACAGTAGATCTTCAGAACTTATAACTGTAAGTTTGATATCTGAGAATATTAAAAGCCAGTAATTTTGTATAATCCCCTTCAATTTGAGATCTTCAGGTATTTCATCATAATTAGATTTAGATTAAGCATCTTTCACAGGAGTCACAAAGAAGTGATACTGTATTCCTCCTTTCCAGTCTATCAGGGCCACAGCGTTTAATTGATTTCGTTGTTTATTGATTCTGAGCCCTTGATTAAGATGACACATGCTAAGATTATTCATTCTGAAGTTATTCTTTCTCCCTCGTTTCTTTTTGTTCTAAATAAGTATTTGGATGGAGATATTATTAAATATCTCATCATATTTTCTATGTATTCACTCATTAATTTATATTAGTATAGACTCATGAATTTCTATATGATTTAATGGGTCATAATCCATTACTATTATTATTAAATGCTCAAATTCCACAGTGAATATCCCTTTAAGTTGATTTCTATGTCTTTTGACATGCACCCACTGTTCTTTGAGCATTTTTAAAAATTTTCTGTCACAGAAAATTCTCCAATCTCATTTTGTACTTCTAGAATCAATCTAGAAATCTCCAAGGACCCCTAGATCATTTCAGTGGATAGTAGAGAAAAGAAACAAATATCTTGGTTCTACATGTACTCATTGCTATTGGTATGACACTGTACATAGAAATATTGTAGTACATGGAGGTAGAGATATATATGCACACATATCTGTATGTACATGTTCATATTTATATTAATTTTATATAGATATATTGAAATCTCTGAGATCATACTGTTGTCTCCAACTTGAATCCAACACTACAGGGTTTACTTTAATTTTCCCCATTTTTCTCCACATTTGCATGTCCTCATACTTCTTGGGCTCCAAAACCCAATAATGAACTCCTCCCCATTAATGTGATGCCTTATCACCTTGACATGTGCTATGACTCCCTACTATAAGCTACTAGCCCACCAATGATAATCTCCTTACTCCACTTATTCAATGATATCCCAGGGTAGACTGCAGCTTCCTCATATGGATATCATTCTACCACAACTCTAATTCCAATACCGTGGGCTGAGCAGCCACTGCCATTTCTACCAACTCCTCTGCCCAGTATGGATTTTCTGGGTAATATTGTTTTGTGACCAAAAGCCCTTGTGAGGATGTCCTTTTTCTTTGAACACTGTCCTCACCTTACTCAGAGTCTGACTCCAGGTGTTGCAGTACCATGGCTTACCATCAACACACTCACACACATAAGCACCTGCTCTGCTCAGTCCCACCTAGTAGCCTTTGAACTAAAATATTCAGGAAGAGAAGGAGTGAGAGGCAGAGGAGAGAAGAGAAGAGGAACAAGAGAAGAGGAAAAGGCAGAAGAACTCCAGCTTGTTTTGAAATGTTGTATCACATGTTAGAACAACATAATTTACAGAACGAGCCAAATATGAAATCTCACAAAAACAAACTCAACAAACTATTATGCATGTCACAAACACTGTGACCTACTGTCTATGAATATTAGATGTTTTGAAGAATTGCCTCCTAGAAGATACTATTTTAAATCTAATTTCTCATATATTATTGTTATTAAATTAAATGTTTATTGTTATAAGCAATCTTTTTGTATCATAATTTTAGAAAGTAAAATTCTTGGGAGATAGAAATTTAAAGTGAGCCTACAGTTAGACTCACTTTAAATTTACAGTAAATTATATGTTGAAGTTATATTTTAATACATTTATATAAGTTTAATATTAAAATAGTAATGTAAAGACAACCATTTATAAATATTTTGTGACATAAATTATCAAATTAAGAAGCATACACTGTGAGTACAGGCTAAGGAGCTAAATAACACTCATGACCTTGTCATAATATTAATGAATTTATTTTCCGGATTTATACCCTTCCATTGATTTGTGTGTCTATTTTATAACTAGTTTATTTAGTATTAAATTGGATAGACTTATAAAACCATTGTCCATGTTATAAACCCAGTGTAATATTATAAGAATTATAAAATGGATAAAGATAATACATAGATTTATTGATCATGGTAAGATGTCAATAATGCTGGTCAATAAGAATTAAAAGTTATTTGAGAAGCTATAATTGACCATAAAATATTTAGATTAAATTGAACCACATCAGGCCATATGCAGAATAAGCCATTTTATACCAGGTTTATATCTACTGTAATTTGAGAAGACTCCTAAGGTAGAGCTGAAAGTTAAAATAACAATAGACTGTATATAAGATACAGCACTTAATACAGTAATTATTTTTGGGAAATAATTAAGATTCTAAAATTGAAGTGTTTAAAAAGGGGGCTTGCCTGCCTGCCATGATGAATATGAGTAAAATTATAAAGAAAGACTCACCAAAATTTTTGTCTCAGTACTAAAATCATAGACTATCAAACTTGTCCAAAACCTCAGCTCTTTTAGTAAAAAAAATAATAATTCTCCTGTCATAAATCAAAGCCCGGGAAAAAATACTAATAATTGTGAAATTCAAATTATGAATAAAATAATTTCAAAAAATTCATTTATTTAATTATACAAATAACAAAATCTGACAGAGCCATTTGTTAGTATGTGACTCCAGATGCTACATTACTGGTGGGATTTTAAGTGGATTCTATTTCTGAAGGTTGTCAATACTGTGTACTCTACAACTCAGCAGTTCTATCCCCCAGTATATAACAAAGAAAAATTTTGTCATATGTACTCTATGATACATTTCCAAGAATTTTCACGGCAATGCTTTTCACAGTAACACATTTCAGAAAATAAACACAATTTTCCTTGGCAGGAAAATAAATTAATGAACAAAACAATATTATATTGCTGTTAAATGATTAAATTAAGACAAAGTACAATAGGGATGAATCACAGATATTTAATAGTACTAAGTAAATTAATTAAGACTCCCAAAAATGGACATGGAAAGTGATATCCAGTTTCCAAGGTTAAAAAAAGATGTGTGTTTTTATGTGTTCATATGCATATGTACATTTTAGTAAATATGCAGATGCATTAAAACTATATAACACTGTTGGTGGAAATGTAAAGTCAAATGGCCAGTATAGAAAATAATAGAAATTTTCCTCAAAAAAAAAAATTAAAAATTAAATTACCATTTGATTCATCAATCCAACTACTGGCAATACATTAAAAAAAAAATCTATACTTCAAAAAGATTTCCACTCCCATGTTTATTACAGCACTATTCACAATAACTAACACATGAAGAAATGTGTGTCCATTAAAAATTAATGAATAAAGAAAATATGGTATACCTACAAAATGGAATACTATTCCGCTGTGAAAAGGAAGGAAATCAAGTCATTTGCAACAACATGGATGAACCTGGAGGACATTATTTAAGTGAAGTAAGCTAGGCAGAGAAAGATCCCACTCATACATGGAAAGATCTCATAGAAATAGAGACTAGAATGGTGATTACCAAGGGATAGAGTGGTAGGGGATGAGGAGAGTTGGTCAAAGGATACAGAATTATTGTATCCCAAAGGATACAAAATAGTGGAGATAAGCTCAAGAGATCTGTTGAACAACATGGTGACTACAGTTAGTACATTGCATTCTTGAAAAATGCTAAGAGTGAAAGTGTCTTGCCACAACAAAATAAGAAACTATGTGAGGTAATACATATGTTAACTATCTAGATTTAGTCATTTCACAATGTATGTATACTTCAAAACATCATGTTTTATGCAGTAAATACAGACAATTTTATCTGTCAATTAAAAAAAAAACATGACAACTATATAACCAGGATTGCAGGGTTCAGTACAGTTTCTCAAGTGAGATAGATGCCAACTGATAATGGTGCACAGGAGCATATCAGTTCAATTCCCCAGCGAGTTTACTGGTACTTACTAATTACTGAAAACTAGATAAACAATGTGAATACATAAGTACAAAACGACCATGCACAGATTTGAATGAGATTATGGCATAAGCAAAAGATTGTAATAATGTCAATTCTAAGCAACTGAGGTCTGTATACCAAAGTAATAATAATAATAAAAGTATACTCATTTGTATTAAACGATTTGTGACTACTGCAGTCTCAGAATATTAATGAGACTTTTTGTGTGTGCTGGGTTTTTTTTTTTAGTGTTTTTTGTTTTTGTTTTGTTTTTTGATACAGGGTCTAGCTCTGTCACTCAGGCTGGAGTGCAGTGGCACAACATGGCTACCTGCAGCTTCAACTGCCAGGGCTCAAGCGATCCTCCCACCTCAGCCTCCTGAGTAGCTGGAACTACAGGTGTGTGCCATCATGCCCAGATAATTTTTGTATTTTTTGTAGAGATGGAGTTTTGCCATGTTGCCCAGGCTGCTCTTGAACCCTGGGCTCAAGTGATCCTCCTTCCTCAGCTTCCCAAAGTGATGGGATTACAGGTGTGAGCAACCACACCCACCGCTAATGAGTTTTTTAAATTAATGCTTTATCGTTTTTAAGCTCTTAATTTTTAAAAGTGTTTAAGAAAATAAGAATTAGGTAAATGATGATGGTTAACCGTACAAAAAAAAAAAAAGAATGTTTAAGATCTAATATTTGATAGCACAATTGGGTGACCAGAGTCAATAACTTAATTGTACATTTTAAAATAACTTGAAGAGTGTAATTGGATTATTTTGTAACTCAAAAGATAAATGCTTGAGAGGATAATACTCCATTCCCCATGATATGCTTACTTCACATTTTGTGCCTGTATCAAAATATCTCATGTACCCCATAAATATATACACGTACTATATACCCACAAAAACTACAAATTTTAAAAAATTTTAAAAAGAGTATCTTAATTATGAAGAGTATATAACTAAGACACTAATTCATTTTAGATTGTGGGAGAGAATGTACTTTCTGAAATTAAAGCACGTTTTAATTTAATTTAATTTAATTTTTGAGACAGGGTCTCGTCACATTTCCCAAACCAGACTGTAGAGAGAGGTATGATCAGCTCACTGCAGCCTGGAACCTCTGGGCTCAAGTGATTCTCCTGCTTCAGCCTCCTGAGTAGCTAGGACTACAGGCATGTGCCAAGTATACCAGCTGTTTTATATTTTTTGAAGAAATAGGATCTCGCTATGTTGCCCAGGCTGGTCTCAAACTCCTGGTCTCAAGTGATGCTCACACCTTGGTTTCTCAATAGGTGTGAGCCACTGTGCCAGGCCTCATGGTTTAATAATTATTTAATCAGTAGGAGTGACAGAGTCCAATGGGGATAGGAGTACTTTCATGCCTGTATGGTTGGCAGTGATGAGTTGTAAAGTGTTGAGGTGAGAAGTGAATTAATATAGGAATGCAAACTGGCATGGGGCTAGAGCTGAATTGGGTGAGTCCATATGATAGGTTGGGGGTACAAGTTTAGAAGAGGGTTGTTAGTGTACACCAGTTTGAGCAAGGAGATATCTGTACACATTTCCAAGCTGTGCCAGCACTGGGTTACACACTGGAGAAAAGCTTAAATGAATAAACATGTTGAGAATAATGGGAGAGTGGCTTCTCTTTTCCTGAAAAGGGAATTACAAATACAGAATTCAAGAAATCGATGTGATCATTGATTTTGATAGACAATGGAGATAGGTAGATGACAGATGATAGATAGATGATAGATAGATAGATATAGATAGATGATAGATAGATAGATAGATAGATAGATAGATAGATAGATAGATAGATAGGATAGATAGATAGGAGACACATATATAGTAATGTACAGGTGTGTGTGTGAAGTTTGCTCTGTTCACTGTAAGAGCATGAGTGCAGCAACATTAAAAGAGCAATAAACATATTGAGGCCAAGATCTCTGTTTCCAAAAATCATTCTCCATGATTGTCCATAAAATAGGACACCTTGAAAAAAATACAGGTTCCAGTTCTGAGAGAGAGCAAATACAAGATGAGACTGGAATATGTTTTGTGCCAGAAAATAAGGAAGAGCTCAAAAAATGATCAGGCCATGATCAAAGTCACAAAAAGGCAGGTTAAAGAATTCCCATGGGGCAAATACTGGACATTTTGAGCATCAAAATACTAATGGTCATAATTTTATGAACGAATTAAAATAGAAATTTATTATGATATGAAAAAAAAATCCCTAATTAGGTGGGAAAAAATGCTGTCTGGGTGCCTGAGTAGTTAATTGCTTCATCAGACCTGCAAATGTAATACTGAGTCAAAAAACAACAAAAACAAATTGAGTGCACCACAGATATGAATTCAACAGGTTTCACTTTCAGTTTTATCACGGAACCAGAATTGAGAGTTATCTATAATCTTGTAAAGTTCTCAAAGCTATTTTAGTTTACAGAACCAGTAAGTTTTGGGGCACATGAAACAAATGCTGAAGAGAAAGAAAAGCTACTGTGTGTAACTGTTACCTTTCAAACAGAACAGCCTTTAGGTAAAAGTATTGTTTATTCATGCAATTGACTATTATTTTGAACATGAAATGTGCTTCCAGATATTTATACTCATATCCCTTCTCAAATTGAGGATTATAGAAGACTAGGCCTGTGATTGCATTAGACATTAGCATAAAATACAATGAAGTTTATATTGATTATGGGACATAATATCTGCAGATTCCTATTACATTATTCAAAAATAAATGGGTCTGTGCTTGGAAAGAGAGATATATAGACAAATGAGCAACATGTTAATATAAGTAAAGGGTATACAGGAGTTCTCTATACTGCTTTACAACGTCTCTGTAATTATGAAAGTATACTAACAAAAATTAAAATTGTTGCATTGATACTAATTTACCTAAAAATCTCTTTCACTGAGTGGAAGGTTTTTCAGAGACAATTTACACAAACTAAAGCTGGTAAGCAAGGAATAGGGATAAGTTTGCTATATACATTTCATGTTATCCTCTTGGCAGGAAGAATCATTTCCAGATCATTTCAGCTGAGCTGAAAATAGACTTCTGCTGAGCATTTCCTAAGTTACACTGCTAAAATATTCTCCTTAGCTCTGGTGGCTTGATGTTTTACTCATGCTATCTCCTACATTGTTGAGATTGAAAAGAGATGATATTTCTTTTTTTTCATACATACAGTTTTAATACAAATGAACTTATTAATATGACATCCATTTATTACCAGGAAAAGAGATGATATTTCATATCATTGATACCCCACTGCATTCAACTATGAGAGCAGAATGTTGAGCTTAAGAGATACTAACATAAATATTAATTGATTGTCACAGAATTGTTTGCCTATCTGACTTTAAAATGTGTGTCTATGTGTATGTACGTACTTCAAAATATTCAAGATTATGGAACAGAGTTTTTTTGCTATCATTGAAGGTAAAATTCATGTGAAACCTGAACTAGAGCTCTCAGTATT